>NC_000004.12:96497138-96800168 GCF_000001405.40 Homo sapiens
TTTTGAGACGGAGTCTTGCTCTGTCACCCAGGCTGGAGTGCAGTGGCGTGATCTCGGCTCACTGCACCCTCCCACCTCCCAGGTTCACGCCATTCTCCTGCCTCAGCGTCCCAAGTAGCTGGGACTACAGGCGCCCACCACCATGCCCAGCTAATTTTTTGTATTTTTAGTAGAAACGGGGTTTCACCATGTTAGCCAGGATGGTCTCTATCTCCTGAACTTGTGATCTGCCCACCTCAGCCTCCCATGATCCGCCAGCCTTGGCCTCCCAAAGTGCTGGGATTACAGACGTGAGCCACTGCACCTGCCCAAGAAAAAAATTTTAAAACATTCTTGAAACAAACATAATGAAATCACAACAAACTGAAACCTATGGGACACACAAGAAGCAGTGCTAAGAGGAAAGTTTATAGCGATAACCACCTACATTAAAAAAAGTAGACAGACCTGGATGTGGTGGCTTATGCGTCTAATTCCAGTACTTTGGGAGGCCAAGGTAGGAGGATTTCTTGAGGCCAGGAGTTTGAGACTACCTAAGAAAATATAGTGAGACTTAATCTTTACAAAAAACAAAACAAAACAAAAAAATAGCAAAACAAACAAAAGACCTAGGCGTGGTGCTGTGTGCCTGTATTTCTAGCTATTCTGGACGCTGAGGTGGGAGAATTGCTTGAGCCCAGGGGGTTGAGATTACAATGACAATGAGCTATGATTGCTCCACTGCACTCCACCCTGAGCAACAGTGCAAGACCTTGCCACAAAGAAAGAGAGAAAAATTTAAAATAACAGCCTTATTATGCACATTGAGGTAGTAGAAAAGCAAGAACATGCCAAACCTGAGATTAGTAGAAGGAAAGAAATAATAAAGATTAGGGCAGGTCTAAACAAAATAGAGAATTAAACACTACTAACAAAAGATCAAGCAAACAAAAAGCTGGGTTTTAAAATAATTTAAAACATTGATAAAATTCTAGATAGACTTTCCAAAAAACAAAGAGAGAGAGAGAAGACCAAAATAAATAAAATCAAGAATGAAAAAGAGACAGAAGATACTACAAAAATACAAAAGAAGATTGGAAGCTATTATGAACAATTATATGCTAAGAAATTGAAAAACCTAGAAAAATATGTATACAGTTCTGGAGACATCCAACCTACCAAGATTGGACTAGGAAGAAATAGAAAATTGAATCTTATGACACAATCAACAAGATAATACACCAAGATCAAGTGGGATTTATCCCAGAGGTGCATAGATATTTTAACATATGTAAATCAATACATGTGATACAGCATATTGTGGCTGAGTGCCACAGTTACTACTTGAGACCATCATTACAGCAGTTAATACTGTTACTGCTTGGGACCGTCATTACAAGACTGAACGAAGGCATGAACATAGAAATGAAAACTTAAGACAAAAGAAGCTGTTTTAAAGGAAGGGAAACCGGGGAAGAAGAGCACTCCCTGCTTCTAGTGAGCCAAGGCAGCCCTCCGAGCTTCCATAGCCCTTCTTATTTATTGGGTAGAAAGAGCAGAGGGAAGGAGGTAATGATTGGCCAGATGCTTGATTGATCACAAGTTCTCATTATTACTAACAAGCTTCAATTATGCCTAATCATAAGAAACACTTGAGCCTAGGTCATGACTGCCCTTAGCAGTCCTTCTGGGTGGCAGACACAGTTTGTCAGTTTGCCAACACTCTGCATTTATGAGAAACAGTTTGCTCCTTACTCATATAGCCTCCCGTGGTATACTGAGTTGATCACGACCCTCAATCTTTAGGCCTCCAACAGCACATCAGCAGAATGAAGGACAAAAACTATATGATCATCTCAATAGATACAGAAAAATTATTTGATAAAATTTAATATTCATAATAAAACCTCTCAACAATTTAGGTATAGAAGGGACATAGCTCAATGTAATAAAGGACATATATGATAAACCCACAATTAATATAATACTGAATGGGGACAAGATGAAAGCTTTTTCTCTAAGAACTGGATTAAGACAAGGATGCCTGTTTTCACTACTCCTATTCAACACATTGCTGGAAGTTCTAGGTGGAGCAATTAGGCAAGAGAAAAATATAAAAGGCGTGCAAATTGGGAAAGAGAAAGTAAAAGAGTCCCTCCTTGAAGATGACATGATTTTTTTTTTCATTAAATTTCTGGGATACACGTGCAAAATGTGCAGGTTTGTTACATAGGTATACATGTGCCATGGTGGTTTGCTGCACCTATCAATCCGTCATCTAGGTTTTAAGCCCCACATGCATTAGGTATTTTTCCTAATGCTCTCCCTCCCCTTACCCCTCACTTCCCCGACAGGCCCCAGTGTGTGATGTTCCCCTCCCTGTGTCCATGTGTTCTCATTGTTCAACTCCCACTTATGAGTGAGAACATACACTGGTTTTCTGTTCCTATGTTAGTTTTCTGAGAATGATGGTTTCTAGCTTCATCCATATCCCTGCAAAGGACATGAACTCATTCTTTTTTATGGCTATATAGTATTCTATGGCATATATGTGCTACATTTTCTTTAAGCAGTCTATCATTGATGGGCATTTGGGTTGGTTCCAAGTCTTTGCTATTGTAAATAGTACTGCAATAAACATACGTGTGCATGTGTCTTTATAGTAGAATGATTTATAATCCTTTGGCCATATACTGGTAATGGGATTTCTGGGTCAAATGGTATTTCTAGTTCTAGATCCTTGAGGAATTGCCACACTGTTTTCCACAATGGTTGAACTAATTTACACTCCCACCAACAGTGTAAAAGGGTTCCTATTTCTCCACATCCTCTCCAGCATTTGTTGTTTCCTGACTTCTTAAGGATCTCCGTTATAACTGGCTTGAGATGGTATCTCATTGTGGTCTTGATTTGCATTTCTCTAATGACCAGTGGTGATGAGTTTTTTGTCATGTTTGTTGGCTGCATAAATGTCTTCTTTTGAGAAGTGTCTGCTCATATCCTTTGCCCACTTTGTGATGGGGTGTTTTTTTTTGTTTTTTGTTTTTTGTTTTGTAAATTTGTTGAAGTTCCTTGTAGATTCTGGATATTAGACTTGTCAGATGGATACATCGCAAACGTTTTCTCCCATTCTGTAGTTGCCTGTTCACTCTGATGATAGTTTCTTTTGCTGTGCAGAAGCTCTTTAGTTTAATTAGATCCCATTTGTCAATTTTGGCTTTTGTTGCAATTGGTTTTGGTGTTTTAGTCATGAAGTCTTTGCCCATGCCTATGTCCTGAATGGTATTGCCTAGGTTTTCTTCTAGGGTTTTTATGGCTTTAGTTTTATGTTTAAGTCTTCAGTCCATCTTGAGTTAATTTTTGTATAAGGTGTAAGGAAGGGGTCCAGTTTTTTTTTTCTGTATATGGCTAGTCAGTTTTCTTAGCACCATTTATTAAATAGGGAATCCTTTCTCCATTATATTTCAGGCCAATATCCCTGATGAACATTTATGTGACAATCCTGAATAAAATACTGGCAAACCAAATCCAGCAGCACATCAAAAAGCTTATCCACCACGTTACAGTTGGTTTCATCCCTGGGATGCAAGGCTAGTTCAACATACGCAAATCAATAAACATAATCCATCACATAAACAGAACCAGTGACAAAAACCACATGATTATCTCAATAGATGCAGAAAAGGCCTTTGATAAAATTCAACACCCCTTCATGCTAAAAACACTCAATAAACTAGGTATTGACGGAACATATCTCAAAATAAGAAGAGCTGTTTATAACAAACCCATAGCCAATACCATACTGAATGGGCAACAGCTGGAAGCATTCCCTTTGAATACTGGCACAAGACAAGGATGTTCTCTCTCACCACTCCTATTCAACATAGTATTGGAAGTTCTGGCCAGGCCAATCAGGCAAGAGATAGAAATAAAGGCTACTCAAATAGGAAGAGAGGAAGTCAAATTGTCTCTACTTGCAGATGACATGATTGTATATTTAGAAAACCCCATCGTCTTAGCCCAAAAACTCCTTAAGCTGATTAGCAATTTCAGCAAAGTCTCAGGATACAAAATCAATGTGCAAAAATCACAAGCATTCCTATACACCAATAATAGACAAACAGAGCCAAATTATTAGTGAACTCCCATTAACAAATGCTACAAAGAAAATAAAATACCTGGGAATACAACTTACAAGGGATGTGAAGGACCTCTTCAAGGAGAACTACAAACCACTGCTCAAGGAAATAAGAGAGAACACAAACAAGGAAAAGCATTCCATGCTCTTGGATAGGAAGAATCCATATCATGAAAAATGGCCATATTACCCAAAGTAATTTATAGATTCAATGCTATTCCCATCAAGCTACCATTGACTTTCTTCACAGAACTAGACAAAACTACTTTACATTTCATATGGAACCAAAAAAGAGCCCATATAGCCAATACAATCCTAAGCAAAAAGAGCAAAGCTGGAGGCATCATGCTACCTGACTTCAAACTATATTACAAGGGTACAGTAACCAAAACATCATGGTACTTGTACCAAAACAGATATATAGACCAATGGAACAGAACAGAGGCCTCAGAAATAACTCCACACATCTACAACCATCTGATCTTCGACGAAGATGACATGATTTTATAAATAGTAAAACTCAAATACTTCTCCAAAAAAACTCTTCACTCCCAACTTTAAAATACATTACAAGGCTAATGAAACCAAAACAGCATGATATTAGTATAAAAATAGACACATAGACCAGGGGAACATTAAATAATAACCCAGTAATAAATTCATATATTTATAGTGAACTGATTTTTGACAAAAGTGCCAAGAATATTCACTGGGGAAATAACACTCTCTTCAATAAATAGTGCTGGTATAACTGGATATCCATACATAGAAGAATGAAACTAGACTCCTACCTCTTACTATATAAAAAGATCAACTCAAACTGGAGAGGAGATTTAAACATAAAATCCAAAACTAGTAAAAGACAGGGGAAAAGGTTCAGGACATTGGGCCAGGGAAAGATTTTACAAGAATTCTGATTTCCTGCTGGGAAAATGTTGCCAGAGGCCTTTACCCTAAGGGTAGAGGATGTTCCTCAATTACAATACAGACTTGTTCCCTGGAATTGACTGCCTAGTTCATCAATCTCTATCACTCTTGCTACAAGGAGGACCTCTGGGAAGTCATTCTTTATCTATAATCCTCCTTACCTGCTTTTGGAGCAATATTTCCTGGTGACTAAGCAGCTTTCTCAGACTGTTTTCTGTGTGTAGAAAGTTGGTAGCTCTGATGTGTTTTAACATTTAAGTACACTGTCTAGTTTGTTTCAGGACAACAGTGATTTTGCTAATAAAACTTTCTTTAAAACTATAGATTTCCTATGTGTTTGATGCCAGTGAAGGTTAACTGCTAAAAGCCAGAAATGCTAGTTTCCTTTTTTTCTTTATGTTAATATTTTTAGGCTTATTGCTCTTTCTCTTGAGACATAATTATGATTCTTTTTACATTTCAGATATCTCTAGGACCACATCCTTGGGTTTTCCAGTAGCTCTTTGATTCAGCTCAAATAATGTACTAGAAGCTACTTTAATTCATTCAGATATCTCAACAAATGGTGTTACATTCTTATCTAGTGCTCTGGACTTTTGGCTTTTTCCTGGAGTTATGTTGTAATGGTTATGATTTTATTTTAACCCTGCAATTTATGTTTTTTTTCTATATTCCCTCTCATCTTTGATTTCAAACCCCAGATCTTTTCTAGACTAATTTTCCTCCCTGTAGAACCTTACCAAATGCAGCAAGTAGCATTTATCTCATGCTTTCAAGACTCTTTTTATTTTACTTTTTTTTTTTTTTTTTTTTTTTTTTTACAAGGTCTCACTCTGTTGCCCAGGCCAAAGTGTGTTGTTGTGATAATAATCCACTGCAGCCTTGACCTCCTAGGCCAGGTGATCTTTCTGTCTCAGCCTCCTGAGTAGCTGGGACTGCAGGTGTGCACCACTATGCCCAGCTAATTTTTTGTATATTTGTAGAAACAGGGTTTCACTGTGTTGCACAGGCTGGACTCGAACTTGTGGGCTCAAGCCCACTTTGATGAAAGTACAAGTTCATCCTGTATTAGTTTTGTCTTCCATGTTAGCCATAGGCAAATGTTTTATCAAACACTTTGCTATCACATACCACAGCTCACTATTTATCCAGCCTTCATTAGGAGTTTAAGAGTTTTCCTGTAATCCAGTAGCCCATCTCAATGCCAGTAGCCCATCTCAATGCCAGTGTGACTCACTCTAGGTGTTAATGCAGCACTCCCATTCTAGCTATGAATTAATACATTAATCAGCTATTGGTACAAAACGTAGCACTTTCAAATTCAGTATTATACCACAGTAAGTATTTATTTGCAATGAGAATTGTCATTTATTCTCAGTAACTTTTCACAGGGGCTCAATTTTGCTGGGGTGATTTTGCTTCATCTATCTTTTTTTGGTGGAGGGTTGGGGGCAGTCTAAAGACACAAAAGCTCTGTCTTTATGGCAGAGATCAAAATCTGCCAGAAAGTTGAGAACGCCCAAAGATACCTCTTCAGGCTTACATTTGGAGTTTCCTTTTGCTTCTATTGACTAAAGCGTCTCATATAGCAAAGGCCAAAATCAATGAGGTATGAAAATATACTCTACTTACAGTGGGGCAGGAAATATACTATTTGCTGAACCATATGTAAATATTCACACTGTCTAACTTATTTTCATCTTCTCAGATTCTCATCCATTTTCTTCTTTCAGCTATTATAGTGAGATAGGTGTCTTCTATCTTTATCCTGATTCTAACCTCATTCTGTCCTTCCATGGATACCATGTTTGTCATGCCACCTTTGTTATAGTTTTAATACCAGAAACTTCAGATTTAACCCTTATTCTCAACTCACTTCTATTTTAGTTAAAAAGTTCTCTCTTGACGCTCTATCACCTCTATTCTCTATAACTGGTTTTGACTCTTAAAACCTAAACCTACCCCACTACCCATACTCTCAACTATTCACCTCCATCCCCCACTAAATACAAGCACACAAATGAGGATACCTGTACATATGTACAATACTCTATGTTCCTTTAATTTAGGGGTCATATATTTCTTATAAGTCCAGAGCCATGCATATTACATATCATATAAGAGTCAAAAATTTTAAATGAATAAATTAGAATTGGATATGACAAAGTATTTTGAGTTGAATAAATGAAATGTAAAGTGAAGCAAACTTAGGTCAAATTTTTCTTTGAGCTTTCCTAGTTCTTTGTGTATGTTTTTCCTATCCGCTCTCACAGTTAAATTGCTTGTATTTCTTGTTAATGTCTTTGCCATTTAGTAATCTCACTCATGTTTGACTTACTTACTTTAATCAGCCGTGGGCTAAAGTGCTTGATTACCAAGCCTATTAAGCATACTTGAGTGATACAACTCGGACTAAGAGCTCTTATGAGTAAAGGTTATACATGTGGAATGGGCAGAAATACTTGAATTCTGTGTCACCTGATTGTCTGTAGTTTCTGTGAAGGTGAGGTCAGGACTGACCTTCTCATCATTATAAACAGCACGTATCAAATAGTAAACCCCGAGTGAGTGGGTGAATGCATGACTGTTCCTGGCTGATATCCTGCTTCCAGACAATATGGATTACCAAACGAGCGTCCTCTGCCTCTATGTGGGATTATTATGTGTACTTTTCATTCAGGCATGAACTACATTCCTGATAATGAAACATTAGTACTCTTTCAAATTACATCCACTGTAAAATTACAAAAAAAAGGAAATTATTCATGAAGTTAAACAAAATTGAAAATGGGTTATAATTCTTTTTCTAAGAAAAGTTTTTGAACAGATGTTTCTTAACTAGTTTTAATTGAATGGAAATAGAATTCTCTGCAGTATGTGCTGTATTGGCAATGCCAAGTCTCATTAAAATAATAAATTCGGAATAAATTTTATTAGTATTTTGAAGTAAAAATGAGAAACCTATAAGAAAAAATATTACAATATTTGCTTTTAATAACATTATAATATTTATCTTGTATCTTGCACACAGGGAGGTTTAAAGGAATACTTTTGTCCACTTACCAGAAAAATTAATCATAACCTCCTCTGCAATAAACACTTTTTGGGTCCATTATTGGTTTACAATAAAATATAAGAAAACAATGAATGTCAGGATACTCCCCTGCTGAGGCAAACGGTATTTTTCCCCGTTCAATTTCCATGCACAAAATTGCTGATGTTCTTCAGTAGGTGTTCACTTATTAGAAAAAGTCAGAATCAGAAACTGGAAGTTGATTGAAAAATCTTAAGAAAAATGAGAGCAAGATATCTTTCTAAATCACATCATTTGATAAAAGTCATTGCACATAAAAAAGCATTAAGGAGTCTCTATTATAATACAAATCACATTTCTAAAAGTCTTTCCCAAAATTTGTTTCAAAGCTTTCACGTCCCTACACACATACTGATTATATAATGTGGAGACTATTTCAGGATTTAAACATGGACAGTTCAGTGCAAAGTAGAGTTGGTGACATTTCCAACATGTAATTAATGAATAATTAATTTGTGTCAGAGGGTAGAATTTAATCTTTCTTAGAAAAGAGACTTTTATGAAATAATCAGTTAGGAGATGAATGGGAAAATCAAGCAGGTAAAAATATCCGTGATTGTCAATGAAAAGTTTCCCCAAGATTTAAAAGTAGAGACACTCCAAAATATTCATTAAAATTTTTAAAAGTCACATATGTATATTTTTACCCAATTAGAAAGAGATATATTTATTACTATGAAGGAAAAACATTAACCTCAATATATATTCTTAATTACTCCAAAATCTAAACTATAAAACCTGAGAATCAAATAAGCTTTCAAAGAGAATAATTTGAAAATCCTAACAGATAGATGCAATTGGCTACCTGGTAATAAAAATATAACTGAAAACACAAAATACCTGGAAGAGCACCACTATCTTTTGTAGAGGGCCTAACATATACTAGGTATATCAATGATTTTTTATTAAGGATTTGATTTAGCACTCACAATAACAAGTGACGTAGTTTCTATAGTTCCCAACTTACAGATAAGAAAACTGAGGCTCAGAATTTTAAAGCTTAGAGAATTCTAACTCTCACATATACATAAGTAGCAGATAGGATTGAAATCAAAGAACTCAGTACTCCAAGAGTTTTCAGCGACATGATTTCCTGATAACATATTTTATCTTGCAGAAATCTTATAGCAGTAACAACATTAAGAAATGTTGACCATCAAATGACTTTAATTTTCTCTGTATACTAGTGAGTTGAACAACTAATTAGAGATGTATTATAGACATCAGGGTCTAAGGACTTGGAGTGAGAACTAGAATGCAAATTAGACATAAATCATAAATATATAAATAGAGATTTGGAAAAAATATGTATATATATGCACATAGTAGTTGAAATCATGAGTTTCAAATATAAAGCCCCCAAAGGTCAGATACATGGCCTGGCCTGAGAGATAATGACAAATAGTGCAGAATAAATATTGTTTAGAATAAAGGAAAATCAACAGAGTTTTGCACTCAGAAATTAAAAAAGAAATAAAACAAGTGAAGAAGGAAATGTCAAATTTAGACAATTTCAACCAGTTACTCCACAGAGAAAAACTGCTGACTGAACCACTTTATATTTTATTTTCTTCTTGAATTTTTAGGGTGACAGGTTGTAAATTTTGCCCCCAAGTCCTACTGAGGGTGGGTTTATACTGAGGAAATATCAGAGTAAATATTTCTTTTTTTTCCTTGCCCCCAGATTGAGGGCAGAGATAGATAATTATCTCACTATTCCTCCTGGTGAAGAGCTCTGCAAAGCGAGGAGTTAGGTCTTTGGAGATTCAGCTTTATGCGATGGTCTTCAGTTCCACCACCCACACTTTACAGGCGTTGAGTAGGCAGCCAGTCTTTAGCAGCATGAGTAGGTAGCCAAGTTCTAAAACTTTGGGGCCTGAGTAAGAGGCTCCTGACTTGATATCCCTGTTTTTGTGCATTCTTGCAACTTCAGGTCTCTAAAAAAGAAAAATCCTCTTATATTCTCACCTTCTCAGATGTGCTATATACATAATTTGCCACTACCTCATGGACACTCACAGCAAATCTTCATTTCTTCACTTATAATATGACCCATAATAGAGAGAAAAAGAACACTGAAACTGACCTAGAACTGGCACAGATATTAGAATTAGCAGGTATAAACATTAGAACTGCTATTATTACGGTATTACATATGTCCAAATAGTTAAGTAGATACAAATGGACCCAAATCTAAATTTTAGAGATGAAAGATATAGCATTTGAGATGAAAAATACATTGAATAGGGGTAAGAAAGATTAATATACTTGAAACTGTAGCTACAGAAAATATCAGAAATAAAACACACGTGCAGTGGCTCACGCCTGTAATCCCAGCACTTTGGGAGGCCGAGGCAGGCAGATCACGAGGTCAAGAGATCTAGACCATCCTGGCCAACATGGTGAAACCCTGTCTCTACTACAAATACAAAAATTAGCTGGGCGTGTGACACGTGACTGTAGTCCGAGCTACTCAGGAGGCTGAGGCAGGAGAATCGCTTGAACCTGGGAGGTGGAGGTTACAGTGAGCTGAGATCGTGCCACTGCACTCCAGCCTCGTGGCCAAGCGAGACTCCATCTCAAAACAAAACAAAACAAAACAAAAAACAACAAAAAAATGAAAAACAAATAAAAACTTCAGTGAGCTGGGACAAACTCAAGTGGTTTAAAATGTGGATAATTGGAGTTACCAAAAGGGTTGGGATAAGGGAGATTTTAAAAAATTAAGAAATAATTATTTTTAAAAAGTCCAAACTTGATGAAAATCATAAACTTACAAATCTAAAAAGCTAAGATAATCCCAACTATAGGAAATACAAAGAAAATTACATAGTGCTTCATGGTCAAATTGCTCAAAACTAATGATAAATAGAAAATCTTAAAAGCAGAGACAAAAACGCATGTGTCTTACAGGAAGATAGATTAAGATAAAAGCAGGTTTTTCTTTTGTAAATAAAGCAAGTGATAAAACAGTGGAAGAATATTTTAGAAGTACTATTAAGAAAAGAAACTGTCAACCTAAAATTGTATACTAGCCAAAATGTTTTTCAAAAACAAAGCAATTGGAACTAGTTAGAACTGATGTTTGCACAACATTATGAATATACTAAATTCAATTCAATAATATAATTTAATATGGCTAATTTTCTCTTATGTGGATTTCACCTCAATAAAAAACTAAGATAAAATAAAAACTTATTTTCAGATATGCAAGAGATAAAAAAATTTAGCACTACGGGGCCAAGGAAAATAAAACCAAATCAAATCATAGATCTATTAAAAAAAGAATGAAGAATACCAGAAGGGGTAGCTACATGGGTAAATATATGTTTATTTTCTTACTATTTACATGTATTTAAATGAAAATTGACTAAAAAATCATAAGTGCATTGTTGGATATATATTATATGACAACAGTAGCCTTGAGAAATTGAAGAATACTGTTACCAGGTTCTTATATAATATGTAAAATATAAATTGAAGGTAAACTGTTATAAGTTAAAGTTGTATATTATAAACTCTAACACAACCACTAAAGCAACAAAATCATTACAGCTAATTAGCCAATAAATAAAATAAAACGATATAATAGCAAAATTACTTAATCCAAAAGATATCAGAAGAAATAAGAGAAACAAAGAAAAGGTGGGACAAATACGGAAAAAATAGCATGATAATTGACTCAAGTCTAATCATATCAAAAACCATATTAGAGGAGGGCAGAGGAAGATGGTGGAATAGAAGGCTCCAGCTATCGTCCCTTCTGCAAGGACACCAGTTTAACAACTATCTACACAGAAAAAACACCTTCATAAGAACTAAAAATAAGGTAAGCACTCATAGTAACTGGTTTTAACTTCATATTGTTGAAAGAGTCACTGAAGAGATAGCAAAAGCAGTCCTAAGCTGCTGACACCACCCCTCCCCCACCCCTTAGTAGTGGCAGCATGGTGCAGAGAGCATCTCTGGGTGCTGGGGGAGGGATAACGCAGCACTTGTGAGGCATTGAGCTCAGTGTTGTCTGGTTAGAGCAGAAAGAAAAACTGGACCAAGCTCAACTAATGCCTAACCATGAAGAGAGCAATTAAACCAGCCCTAGCCAGAGGGGAGTTGCTGATCCCAGTGGTCAGAACTTGATTTCTTAAAAACCGTGCCACCAAAGGCCAAAGTGCTCTGTGTTCTCTAGTGATGAGCTAGGCTGAAAGACAGTGGACTGGGGGTGGCATGTGACATAATGAGACAACAGCTGGGATGGCTAAGGGAGTGCTAGCATCACTTCTCCCCTAACCTTAGGCTGCACAGTTCACAACTTCAAAAGAGACCACTTCCTTCTGTCTGAGGAGAGGAGAGGGAAGAGTGGGGAGGATTTTGTCTTTCATGTTGGGTACCAGCACATCCATAGCAGGATAGGGCAGTGGGTCAGAGTCATGAGTTCCTTGTTCCAGGTCCTAGTTATCAGGTGACATTTCTAGACAAACCTGTGGCCAGAAAGGAACTCACTTTCTTGAATGAAAGGACCCAGTCCTGGCAGCATTCATCATCTTCTAACTGAAGAGATTTGAGGCCCTGAATACCAGCAGTGATAGCTAGGTATTATGTTGAGAGCCATGGGTGAGCCTCAGAGACTTCCTGGCTTCAGATGCCAGCATGGCCATAGTGGGGTAGAGCACCAAACATGCTCTTTGGGTCCCCGATTCCAGGACCTGACTCTCAGACGGCATTTCTGGACCTGATCTGGGCCAGAGGGGAGCCCACTGTCCTGAAGGGTGAGTCTCAGGCTAGGCAACATTCACCACAAGCTGACATAAGAGACCTTGGGCCTCAAGGGAACATTGACGATAGTTTGACAGTACTCCTTGTGGTCTGGGGTGGCAGTGGCTATAAGTGAGTCTCCTCTGCCCTTTGGAAAGGGGAGGGAAGATTGGGAAGAACTGTATCTTGTGGTCTGAGTGTCATTTCAGCTGCAGTACAACAGAATACCGGGTAGACTTCTAAGGTTTTTGACTCTAGTCTCTGGCTCCTGGATGGCACCTCTGCCTCTACTGAGGGCCTGAGGACTTTTGCTGCCCTGAAAGGGAGCACAGGCCTGGATGGCTTTGCCACCTGCTGTATGTAGAACCCCAGTGCCTTCCACAAACATAGGCAGTAGCTAGGGAATGATTACTGCAGGCCTTGGGTGAGACCCAGTGCTGTGGTGGCTTCAGGTCTGACCCAGCACAGTCATACTGGTAGTGGCCATGGGTGTGCTTGTGTCACTTCACCCCCAGCTTTAAGTGGCTCAGAACAGAGTGAGACTATGCTTGTTTGGGAGAAAGTAAGAGAATAGATTAAGTCTCTTCCTGGTAATCTATAGAATTCTCTCAGACCTTGTCCAGGACCAACAGTTGATACCTCTACAACTCTAAAAGAACCATAGCATGACTGGGCTTTGGTTGTTTCCTAAAGCACATGTAGCTTAGATCACAACACCCAAGTCCTTTCAAATATCTGTATAGTCTTCCCAAAAAGGATGGGTACAAATAAGCCCAGAAACTGACAACTACAATAAATACCTGGCTCTTCAACCCCAAACACCAAAGAACATGTACTAACATTAACACCATCTAGGAATACATGACCTCACCAAAAGAACTAAATAAGGCACCAGGAACCAATCCTCAAGAAACAGAGATATGTGACATTTCAGATAGAGAATTCAAAATAGCTGTATTGAGGAAACTCAAAGAAATCCAAAAGAACACAGAGAAGGAATTCAGAAGTTCATCAGATAAACTTGTCAAAGAGATTAAAGTAACTTAAAAGAATCAAACAGAAATTCTGGAGATGAAAAATGCAACTGGCATACTGAAAAATGCATCTGAGTTTTTCAATAGCAGAATAGATTAAGCAGAAGAAATAATTAGTAAGCTTAAAGACAGGACTTGACTTTCCAAGACTTGACTTTTAGATAGTATTTCTGGACCTGTCCTGGGCCAGAGGGGAGCCTACTGCCCTGAGGGGTAAGTCCAAGGCCAGGCATCATTCACCAGAAGCTAACTTAAGGGCTTTAAGGGAACATCAGAAATAGTCTGGCAGTACTCCTTGTGGTCTGGGGTGGCGGTGGCTATGAGTGAGGCTCCTATGCCTTTGGAAAGGGGAGGGAAGATTAGGTAGAACTCCATCTTTCTATTTGAAATATGCAGAGGAGATAAAAAAATGAATAAAAAACAATGAATCAAAACTACAGGACCTAGAAAATAGCCTCAAAAGGGCGAATCTAAGAGTTATTGTCCTTAAACATGAGATAGAGAAAGAGATAGGGATAGAAAGTTTATTCAACAGGATAATAGCAGAGAACTTCTCAATCCTGGAGAAAGATATCAATATCCAACTACAAGAAGGTTATACAACACCAAGAAGATTTAACTCAAAGAAGACTACCTCAAGGCATTTAATAATTAGTCTTCCAAAGACTAATTTTTCATACAAACAAAAGCTGAGGGATTTCATCAATACCAGACCGGTCCTACAAGATATGCTAAAGAGGGAACTTAGGAAGAAAAGGACATTAAAGAGCAATAAGTGATTACCTGAAGGTACAAAACTCGGGGGGTAATGTAAGTACACAGAAAAACACTGAATATTATAACACTGAATCTGTGGTGTGTAAACTACTCTTTTCCTAAGTAGAAAGACTAAAAGATGAACCAATCAATAATAATAATTACAACAACTTTTCAAGACACAGTAAGTACAGTAAGATATAAATAGAAACAACAAAAAGTTTGAAAGTGGGAAAACAAAGTTAAGGCATAGAGTTTAGTTTTCTTTTGGCTTATTTGTTAGTTTGTTTATGCAAACAGTATTAAGTTGATATCAGATTAAAATAATGGGTTATAAGATAATACTTGCAAGCCTCATGGTAACCTCAAACCAAAAAACATACAATGGACACACAGAAAATTAAAAGCAAGAAACTCAATCATATTAACTGAGAAAATCACCTTTACTAAAGGAAGACAAAAAGAAAAGAAATGATGAAGAGAAGAATACAAAAAAAAAAGACAACGAATAACAAATTGGCAAGAGTAAGTCCTCACTTATCAATAATAACATTGAATGTAAATGGACTAAACTCTCCAATCAAAAGATGTTGACTGGCTGAATAGATAAAAAAAAGATCTATTGATCTGTTTCTTACAAGAAATACTTTGCCCATAAAAATATACATAGACTGAAAATAAAGGGATTGAAAAAGTTATTCCATGTCAATGGAAACCAAAAATGAGCAAGAGTCACTATACCTATCAGTATAGTGACTGAAATCAGACAAAATAGATTTCAAGACCAAAACTATAAAAAGAAACAAAGAAGGTCACTGTATAATGATAAAGGGGTCATTTCCACAAGAGAGTATAACAATTGTAAACAGATATGCAACCAATGATGGAGCAACCAGATATATAAAGCAAATGTTATTAGTGCTAAAGAGAGAGACAGGCCCCAATGCAATAATAGCTAGAGACATCACCACTTCACTTTCAGCAGTGGACAGATCTTCCAGGCAGAAAACCAACAAAGAAAAAGCAGATTTAATCTTCACTATAGACCAAATGGATCTAAAAATATTTAGACAACATTTCATCCAATGGCTGCAGAATACATATTCTTTTCTTAAGCACATGAGTCATTCTTAAGATAGACCATATGCTAGGTCACAAAACAAGTCTTAACACATTCAAAAACACTGGAATAATGTTAAGCATCTACTCTGATTGCAATAGAAAAAAACTGGAAATTAATAAGAAGATGAATTTTGGAAACTATAAAATACATGGCAATTAAAAATATGCTCCTCAATGACAAGTGAGTCAATTAAGAAATTAAGAAGAAAATTGAAAAAATTATTGAAACAAATGATAATGGAAACACAACATACCAAACCTACAGGATACAGCAAAAGCAATACTAAGCGGGAAGTTCATAGCTATAGGTGCTTATATCAAAAAAGAGGAAAAATTTAAAATAAGCAATTGAACGATACATTTTAAAGAACTAGAAAAGCAAGAGCAACCAAACGCCAAATTAGTAGAAGAAAAGAATAAGAGCAGAAATAAATGACATTGAGATTAAAAAATTCAAAATGTCAATGAAACAAGAAGTTGGTTTTTGAAAAGGTAAACAAAATTGACAAACCTTTAGCCAGACCAAATAAAAAAGAGGGAAGATACAAATAAATAAAATCAGAAATGAAAAAGGAGACATTACAAATGATACTGCAGAAATTCAAAGGATCATTAGTGGCCACTATGAGCAACTATATGCCAAAAAATTGGAAAGTCTAGAAGAAATAGACAAATTCCTAGAAACATATAACCTACCAAGATTGGACCAGGAAGAAATCCAAAACCTGGCAGACAAATAACAAGTAACAAGATTGAAACCATAATAAAAAGTCTTCCAGTAAAGAAAAGCTTGTACCCTGATGGCTTTGCTGCTGAATTCTAGCAAACATTTAAAGAACTAATACCATTCAAATTCAAACTATTCCAAACATAAAGGAGGAGGGAATATTTCCAAACTCATTCTATGAGGCCAGTATTACCCTGACACCAAAACTAAAGACACATCAAAAAAAAAAAAAGAAAACTACAGGCTAATATCTCTGATGAATACTGATGCAAAAATCATCAACAAGATACTAGAAAACCAAATTCAACCATACATTAGAAAGATCATTCATCATGAACAGGTGGTATTATTCCGTGGGATGCAAGATGTTTCAACATACCCAAATCATCATGTCAACAGAATGGATAGAAACCGTATGATCCTTTCAATTGATGCTGAAAAAGCATTTGACAAAATTCAACATCATTTCATGATAATAACCCTCAAAACACTGGGGATAGAAGGAACATACCTCAACATAACAAAAGCCATACACGGCAGACACATAGCTAGTATCATAATGCATTGGAAAAAAACTGAAAGTCTTTCTTCTAAGATCTAGCACATGACAAGGATGTCCATTGTCACCACTGTTATTTAGCATTTTCCTGGAAGTCCTAGCTAGAGCAATCAGACAAGAGAAAGATATAAAGGGCATCCAAGTAGGAATGGAAAAAGTCAAATTATCTTTGTGGATTATATGATCTTATATTTGAATAAACCTAAAGATTCCACAAGAAAACTATTGGAACTGACAAACAAATTCAGTAAAAGAAGACATACAGATGGCAAACAGGCATATGAAAAGTTGCTCAACATCATTGATCATGAGAGAAATGCAAATCAAAACTACAATGCTATATTATCTCACCCCAGTTAAAACGGCTTATATTCAAAAGATGGGCAATAGCAAATGCTGTCGACGATATGGATAAAAGGAAACCCTCGTACACTGTTGGTGGGAATGTGTATTAGTACAGGTGCTATGGTGGTTCCACAAAAAACAGCGCTGCTTCCTTATGATCCAGCACTCCCACTACTGGGTACATACTCCCAAAAAAGGAAATCAGCATATTAAAGAGATATCTGCACTCCTATGTTTGTTGCAGTACTGTTTATAATAGCTAAGATTTGGGAGCAACATAAGTGTCCATCAACACATGAATGAATAAAGATAATGTGGTACATATACAAAATGAAGTACTATTCAGCTATAAAAAAAGAATGAGATCCAGTCATTTTCAGCAACTTGTATGCAACTGGAGATCATTATGTTAAGTGAAATAAGCCAAGGACAGAAAGGCAAACATCACATGTTCTCACTTATTTGTGAGATCTAAAAATCAAAACAAATGAACTAATTGATATAGAGAGTTGAAAGATGGTCATCAGTGGCTAGGAAGTGTAATGGGAGATTGGAGAAAGGTGGGTATTGTTAATGGATGCCAAAAAAATAGAAAGAATGAATAAGACCTACTATTTGATAGCACAACAGGTTACTATAGTCAGAAATATCTTAATTGTACATTTTTAAATAACTTAAAGAGTATAATTTTCACTTTGGGAGGCTGAGGCGGGCAGATCACGAGTTCAGGAGATCGAGACCATCCTGGCTAACATGGTGAAACGCCATCTCTACTAAAAATACAAAAAATTAGCCAGGTGTGGTGGCAGGTGCCTTTAGTCCCAGCTACTTGGGAGGCTGAGGCAGGAGAATGGCATGAACCCGGAAGGCGGAGCTTGCAGTGAGCCGAGATCACACCACTGCACTCCAGCCTGGGCGACAGAGCAAGACTCTGCCAAAAAAAAAAAAAAAAAAGGAGTATAATTGGATTGTTTGTAACTCAAAGGATAAATGCTTGAGGTGATGGATATCCCATGTTCCATGATGTACTTATTTCATATTACATGCCTCCGTCAAAACATCTCATATGTACCATAAACATATACACCTACTATGTACCTACAAATTAAATATTAAAAATTAAATTAAATGCAAAGAGTAATAGCATCCCCAACTAAAAAAACAGATGGTGATATTTGATTAAAACATAAGACAAAACAGAAAGTACTTCTAAGAAATGTGCTTTGTATATAAGCCAAATAAATTCAAAGTATAAGGACAGAGAAAAGTACAGTCCTCCCCCGATATCCACAGGAGAATGGTTCCAGGACTACCCTTCTAATACCAAAGACCACAAGTATCAAGTATCTGATATAAAATGGGATAGTATTTGCACATCCTCCCCTATACTTTAAATCATCTTTAAATTGCTTATAATAGTTAATCCAATATAAATGCTATGTAAATAGTTTATTGTTTTTATGTGTACTAGTTTGTATTGTTGCATTGTTATTTTTATTGTTTTTAAGAAAACATTTTTTATCCCAGATTGGTTGAATCCACAGATGTGGAACCTGTGGATACAGAGAAATGACTATATACCATTTGAAAGCTAATGTAAATAAACCTGGGGTGGCTATATATTAATATCAGACAAAGTTGACTTTGGAGCAGAGAATAACCCTAGGGATAAAGAAAATTATTTTATAATGCTAACAGGACTAATTCTTCAAGAAGACAATAAAATCCTAAATATTAGTTCAGATAATAACAGAAGTACAAAATATATGAAGCAAAAATATGATGTTATTGCAAAAGAGAAAAGATGTTCACAGTCATAATTTTAGGTTGTATTACTCTGCTCTCAATAATTTATAGGACATTTGAACAGAAAATCAGTAAAGGTATAGAAAACTTGAACAACATAGGCAATTGATTTGACCTGATGTTTATTGAATACTCCATCTAAAAACAGCTGAATATATACACGCTTTTCAAGTGGACATGGCACATTCACAATAATAAACTATATTCTGTATTACAAAACAAGTCTTGATTTAAACGTGTTTAAGTCATACAAAGTACATTCTCTGAACAAAATGAAATTAAAATGCGAATCAATCAATAACAGAATGGTATCTGAAATGTCTCCAAATATTTGGAAATAAGCACATCTAAATAACCCATGGGTCAAAAAAGAAGGCAAATAGAAATTTTTAATGGCATGAAATTAAAATACAATTTATCGAAAGAAAACGAAAGTATAGAAATTATATCAAGAATGAGAGAACTGATCTTACTATAGTTTCTGCATATTAAAAGGATAACAAGGGGGGAATATTATGAACAAATTGACACCAATAAATTTAATAACTTAGATGAAATTGGAAAATTCCTTGAAAGATACAAGTTAGGAAAGCTCACTCAAGATAAATAACCTGAATAGCTTCATATTTATTGAAGGAATTGAATTGTGGTTAAAAAGAAACAAAAACACTTTTACACACACACACACACACACACACACACACAAATTCCAGGCCCAATGGCTTCATGGATAAATGCTATTATCTATACATTTATACATTAAAGAGAAAAAATAATTCTAGATTTATAACAGTTCTTCCAGAAAAGGGAGACCAATGTCACTTTGATACAAATCCAGACAAAGACAGTCCAAAAACTACAGACAAGATCTTCATGAATACAGATGTAAAAATTGTAAACAAAATTTCAACAAATCAGCCTAACAATATATAAAAAGGGCAACACATCATGACTAATGAAGTTTATGAAAGAATGCAAAGGTTGATTAACAATAAAAATTAATAATGGAATAGTGGAGCAAGTCTTCCAAAAATCTGATTCTATATAGAGGCAAGAACACTAGCACAAATCATCAAAAGCAACTTTTTCAGAACTATGGAAATTAACCAATGACTTACAAAAATTTGAGGAGTATCCATTCCTGAAAAAACAGCTGTATTGTGGTGAGAATAGCAAGGTTTGCGGTGTTTATCTTGCATTTTTCCTATCCCTTCTTCCCCAGTTTTTTTGGTAACCTTGAAAAATGAAAGTCTTGCAACCAACCACAGTAGCTGTGAAAAACAGCAGCCTAGCAGCTACCAGAGGGGAAAAACTGGCTTTGGAAGGCCTCAAAAAACCCCATCCCCAGAGAATTGTCACTATTTAGTTAAACAAACAGATTAATAAAACCCAATAGAGTCCAGAAGTAGATCCAACATATATGAAAAACATTTGGTAAATGTGCAAAGACTATTCAATGGTGAACAGATAGTCTTTTCAACAAATATTGCTGAAACATTTGTATATTCAAATAAAAAAGAAAACAAAACAAGCAGAGGTAAACAAACTTTAATTCATATAATGCATACTTTACAGATTCAAAAATTAATTTAAAATAGTTCACAGACCTAAATGTTAAACCAAAAACTATAAAACTGCTAGATGACAATAGGAGAAAAGCTCTGTGATTTTTTAGATGAGACACCAAAAGCACAATCCATAGAAAAAATTAATAAAATTAATCCAAATCTAAAATGTCTGTCCTTTGAAAGACACTAATGAAATAAAAAAGACAGATTATTGATAGGAAAAATATTTGCAAAGGATTTATATGACAAATAATTGTTATCTAGAATATGTAAGATTTTTCAAAGCTCAGTAATAGAAAACAATTCCAGAACACATAAGCAATATATTTTTACAACTTATTTACCAGAGAAAATATATGGATGGTGAATAAGCACATGAAAATATCCTCCACAGCATTAACAGTTAGGGAAATGCAAATTAATATATAATAAGATTCCGTTATATTCCTGTTAGAATATCTGAAATTTAAAATCCCGGCCCTACCGTCCTGGGCGAAATAGTGTTCCCTAAAAATCCGTGTCCACTTGGAACCTGAAAATGTGACTTTGTTCTTTATTACTTATGTGTTCTGGAATTGTTTTCTATTACTGAGATTTGAAAAATCTTATATATTCTAGATAACAATTCTTTGTCATATAAATGCTTGCAAATATTTTTCCTATCAATAATCTGTCTTTATTCTGAAATAGGTTTTTTGCTGGTGTGAACAAATAAAGGTGAGGTCATACAGAATTAAGGTGGGCCCAAATCTAATGATTAAAATCTGTATTAGTTTCCTAGGGCTGTCTTAACAAGGTGCCACAGACTGGGAGTCTTAAACAACAGCAACTGACGTTCTCAAAGTTCTGGAGACTAGAAGTTCAAGATCAAAGTGTCAGCAGGATTGGTTCCTTCTAAGGTCCATGAACAAAGGATTTGTTCCAGGCCTCTCTCATTGACTTGTTAATGACCATCTTCTCCCTTGTCCTCACATTGTCTTCCTTCTGCATGTGTCTGTGTCCAGATTTCCTCTTTTTATAAGGGTGCCAGTCATATTGGATTACAATCCACCCTAATGATCTCATTTGAACTTAATTATGTTTGTAAAGACCTTATTTCCAAATAGGGTTGCCTTCTCAACTACTAGAGGTTAAGACTTCAACATATAAATTTGGGGAAGAATTCGTATGTTGAAATCCTAACTTCTAGTAGCTGAGAAGGCAACCCTATCTGGAAATTCAGCCCATAATTCAGCCCATATCATTGTCTTTACAAGAAGAGGAAAATTTGAACACAGGAATACAGGCAGAAAAGATAACTGTGTGAATCCAGAGGTTTGAAGTTATCCTGCCATAAAACAAGGAAAGTCAAGGATTTTCAGCAACCATCAGAAGTTAGAAGAAGCAAGGAAGGATTCTTACCTAGAGTCTAGTAGGAACTAACCAACACCTTGATTTCAGACTTCTAGCTTCCAGCATTTTGAGAAAGTAAATTTCTGTTACTTTAGGCCACCTAGTTTGTGGTTCTTTGTTACCACAACCCTAGGAAATGAGTAAACATACCAACCGTGTGGGAGGATGTGGAGGAGCTGATGGAAATGTGAAATGGCATAAGCACTTTGGAGGAGAGTTTGCTAGTTTCTTAAAAAGTTAAACATACTCATTCTATATGATGCCAGTAAAAGGGTCCTGATCTGGACTCCAAGAACAGTTTCTTGAATCTCATGCAGGAGAGAATTTGAGGTGAATCACAGAGCACAGTGAAAGAAACAAGTTTCTTGGAAGCTACTCAGCTACAGAGCAGGATGTCCTCAGAAAGCAGGAGGAGGAGCACAATGCCCTTTATTGGTTCCTTTACTTATAAGAAACTATTAGGAGCTATAATTAAACTTGGAATGCTCCTATGTGCACATTAAAGGTAGTGGCTATTGGTGTTACTGATAACCTTTAACCCTTCAACCTAAACTTACTCATTAATGTGATCTTTAAGTAAAGGGTGCTGTATTCTTAGGACTTTTGGATATTCTGCAGGCTTGGTGACAGATATTCTGTATGGTCATAAATATTCTGTAAATATAATTGGTGGTCAGCTTGGGATGTAGATATTTTCGACCATAAATATTACCCTTACAGGTGCCTTGTGAGTGCCCAACTACTCACTCTAAGATGGAGTCACTCTAGTCATCATTTATTAAACCAGAGGCCTGGTAAGCAGGGGTTCCTCTAATACAGCCATTCCACTCTTATATATTCACCCAAGAGAAATGAATGCACATGACCATACAAAGACTTCTGTTTAAATATTTGGAGCATTTCCTTTTGTAATAGCCGAAAACAGTGAAAAATCCCAAATGCTTCTTAATAAGTGAATTGATGAATATTTTTCAGTATACTTATATGATGTGTCTCTGCAATAGAAAACAAATGAACTACAAATACATGCAACAACATAAATGAAACTAAAAATAATTAGGCTGAGTGAAAGAAGCCAGATAAAAATGATTATAAGCCATATGTTCCATTTCTATAAATCTCTAGATAATTCAAACTAATCTGCATTGACATGAAGCAGATCAGAAGTTGTCCAAGGAAGGAGGAGGCAGGGAGAGGTGGTAAAGAATTTCTATGAAGTGTCACAAAGGAACCTTTTGGGGTGGTGGGTGTGGTCACTATCTTGATTACAGTTATTGTTTTGTGGGATTGTCACACCTGATCAAATTGTAGACTCTAAGTATGTTCATCTATTTATGTCAATTATACCTTGATAAAACTGTTAAAATATATAAAAATTTAAAAAATTTGATGGTGATCAGGAGAAAATTAGAAGAAATATCAGAGTGATGAACACGGATCAGATATTATAGTGTACCATAGGCCAAACTAAATAGTTTTGACTTTCATACTTCAAGTGAAAGAAAGTAATTGACAGTTTCTGAGCATGATAGTTGCAAGATCTGGTATATGTTTAAATATATCAGTCTGGCATTGTATAATGAATTACCTGTTGAGGACAAAAGAAAAAATATTGAGAGGTGACAATGTGCCAGCAGCCCTCACTCACTCTCGGTGCCTCCTCGGCCTGGGCGTCCACTCTGGCTGCGCTTGAGGAGCCCTTCAGCCTGCCTCTGCACTATGGGGGCCCCTCTCTGGGCTGATTGAGGCTGGAGCCAGCTCCCTCTGCTTGCAGGGAGGTGTAGAGGGACAGGCATGGGTGGGAATCGGGGCTGTGCATGGAGCTCGTGGCCAGCCTGCATTCTGGGTGGGTGCGGGCTCCGCGGGCCCTGGGCCTGGCACTCCGAGTGGGCCCTGGGCAGTGAGGGGCTTAGCACCTGGGCCAGCAGCTGTGGAGGGTGCTCCAGGTCCCCCAGCACTGCCGGCCTGCCTGTGCCGTGCTCGAATTCTCACCGGGCCTCAGCCACCTGCCCACGGGGCAGGGCTCTGGACCTGCAGTCTGCCATGCCCAAGCCCCCCACCACTGCCTCAGTCCCCGCCGTGGGCTCCCGTGGGCCCAAGACTCCCTGACGGGTGCTACCCCCTGCTCTGTGGCACCCGGTCTCATCGACTGCCCAAGGGCTGAGGTGTGCAAGTGTGCAGCATGGGACTGTCGGGCAGCTCTGCCCGCGGCGCCAGCACGGGATCCACTAGGCAAAGCCAACTGGGCTCCTGAATCCAGTGGGGACTTGGAGAACTTTTATGTCTGGCCAGAGGATTGTATGTGCACCAATCAGCACTCTGTGTCTAGCTCCGGGTTTGTGGATGCACCAATCAGCACTCTGTATCTAGCTAATCTGGTAGATACTTGGAGAACTTTTATGTCTAGCTAAAGGATTGTAAATGCACCAATCAGCACTCTGTGTCTAGTTCAAAGTTTGTAAACGCACCAATCAGCACCCTGTGTCTAGCTCAAGGTTTGTAAAAGCACCAATCAGTGCTCTGTGTCTAGCTAATCTAGTGGGGACTTGGAGAACTTTTACCTCTAGCTAAAGGATTGTAAATACACCAATCAGCACTCTGTGTCTAGCTCAGGGATTGTAAACGCACCAATCAGCTCTCTGTAAAACGGACCAATCAGCTCTCTGTAAAATGGACCAATCGGCTCTCTGTAAAATGGGCCAATCAGCAGGATGTGGGTGGGGTCAGATAAGGTAATAAAAGCAGGCTTCCCGAGCCAGCAGCAGCAACGTGTTGGGGTCCCTTTCCATACTGTGGGGGCTTTGTTCTTTTGCTCTTCACAGTAAATTTTGCTGCTGCTCACTCTTTGGTTCTGCACTGCCTTTATGAGGTTTGACGCTCACTGCGAAGGTCGGCAGCTTCACTCCTGAGGCCAGCAAAACCAGGAACCCACGGGGAGGAATGAACAACTCTGGATGGGAGGAACAAACTCCTCCAGATGCGCCGCCTTAAGAGCTGTAACACTTACTGTGAGGGTCCACGGCTTCATTCTTGAAGTCAGTCAGACCAAGAACCCACCAGTTTCAGACACAATATGAGACATGTCTGTGGGTTATTTTAGCATGACAGGCAAATAATGTGTGTAGGACTGACAATAACAAAGGAATAGTAAGGAGTAGTAAGACTTGGGATATATATTTGAAGGAAGTCTACAACACTTGCCGGTAGTTTGGAGGAAAAGAGTAAGCGAATTAAGGGTGATTCCCCATTTCAGGCCTAAACAACAAGGTTAAATTGTGTGTAATTAACTGGAATAGAGAAGACTAGGGAATAGACAAGAGGGAAATAAATAATGTTAGATTTTGAATATGTTTCCTTTGGAAAGCCTACAAAATATCAGAGTGGGTATCCTAGTAGGCATTTTAATATATTTGGTCTGGAAACCCAGACATAAGTCAGGACTAATAACATAAAACGGAAATCAATTAACACAAAGAAGGCATTTAAACTTTGGTGACCGAGCGAAATAATCTACATAGATTCTATGATTAGAAAAGAAGAGACAGGTAGGAATTGAGAGCTGGACATCCCAATATTTACAGGTGAGAAGGAAGATTTCAAATATCTACTTAATTTCCCTGCTGTCTCTTAGAGTTATCTCTTTCTGACCTTTTAAAAATACATATTCTCTATCTTTTTTAAAATAGCGATATTTCATAGTAACTATCAGAATTTTTTTTGCATTCATATGCTTCTATATATATTGTCCTCTGGATTCAAATATCAACTCTATTAATAAAATCTATTCAGTATGAATAATTATCTCTATATGCACAATGATATTCTCATCTTAAATTTAGCATATATAAAATAAGATCCAGAATTTCAAGCTCACAGTATACCAGCTATAGAAAATAAACTCATTTCACTTCTCTGTGCTTCAATTTCCTCACCTATTAAATTAGGATAAAACAACCCTTTCTTTTTAGGTTGTTTCAAGAAGCAGATGGGTTGTCACGTGTAATACATGTGCTTAAAACAGTGACTGGCATATGATAAATATTCAATAAATTTTGCCATTATTTATTTTGACAAATGTTCTGTTCTCCTACTCACATTTTAGTGAGGGTAAACTGACCAAGGTGTCATAGAAACAACCCCATAATCACAGTAAATTTACACATGAAAAAGTCATTTCTTGCTTGGCTGAACATATTGTGAGAATTAGAGGACATTTTACGGTTGCTTCTATCTATCAAGTTCCTTAAAAATACAGTTCACACATAGTGCTCTAGCCATCTCAATTCTAGACCTCCACTGTTATCAGAAACATTTCAGAAAGTTGCATGCCTCTTGTTTTTTTGTTTTTTTTTAATCCCTAAAGGAACACATATCATTTCTGCTCACAGCTCATTGCGAAGTTACGGGACACTATCTAGCAGCAAGAGGCTTGGGATATACGGGAACACACATAGATATTTGGTGAGCGTTAAATGTCTGCACCCCATGTAAGACATCACTAGTCACTCTGAAAGCCAAGTTGAAATCTGGAATTTATTTCTGACTTCTCTCCTTCTCTCTTCATCCATGTGTTTTTTTCAACTAAGCCTTCTTATTTCCTCCCCTTAATGTGTCTGAGATGAGCTTTCTTCTCTCCTCTACTGCTTTGTGCTGCAGCGAACATAGACTCTTTATAAAGGAAAAAAACACAACTGTATACTCTCCAACATTTTTGCATATGAAGTGTGTGGGCTTTTTTCCCACACCAACCCATTCTCCAACTCTTGTATGAAGGGGGCCAGCCCCTCCACAACCTGTGGGTGTTTCTCGTCAGGTGGGACGAGAGACTGAGAAAAGAAATAAGACACAGAGACAAAGTATAGAGAAAGAAAAGTGGGCCCAGGGGACTGGTGCTCAGCATATGGAGGACCCCCGCCGGCGCTGGTCTCTGAATTCCTTCAGTATTTATTGATCACTACCTCTATCATCTCGGAGAGGAGGATGTGGCAGGACAATAGGGTCATAGTGGGGAGAGTGTCATCAGGAAAACATGTGAGCGAAGGTCTCTGTGTCAAATAAGTTTAAGGAAAGTGCTGTGCTTTGATGTGCAGGTACACAAACGTCTCGGTACATTAAAGAGCAGTATTGCCACTAGCATGTGTCACCTCCAGCCCTAAGGCGGTTTTCTCCTGTCTCAGTAAATAGAACATACAATCGGGTTTTACACCGAGACATTCCATTCCCAGGGAGGAGCAGGAGACAGATGCCTTCCTCTTATCTCAACTGCAAAGAGGCCTTCCTCTTTCACTAATCCTCCTCGGCACAGACCCTATACGAGTGTCCAGTGTCGGGCTCGGGGACGGTCAGGTCTTTCCCTTCCCACAAGGCCATATCTCAGGCTATCACATAGGCACATAGGGGAGAAACCTTGGACAATACCTGGCTTTCCTGTGCAGAGGTCCCTGCAGCCTTCCACAGTGTATTGCATCGCTGGGTACTTGAGATTAGAGAATGGCAATGACTTTTACCAAGAATTCTGCCTTCAAGCAATTTTTTTTTTAAATAGAGTTGAATTGGCTGTAACTTAACAAATACAAAGTAGAAATAACTATGATTAGATATTTTACATAATATAATTTCTAAGCTACAATTAATAGCTATATACTATATTTCATATTTTACAGAGAAAGCAAATATTTTCTAATACTACTGAATGTTTACAAAAATTAATCATATACTAGATTTAAAGAAATTTTTATTAAATTGTTAAAAGCATAAGCTGTACTCATAACATTCTTTGCCCATGCTTTAATTTTTTTTATTTTATTATTATTATACTTTAAGTTTTAGGGTACATGTGCACAATGTGCAGGTTTGTTACATATGTATACATGTGCCATGTTGGTAAAGCACATCCTGCATTGTATATCAACTGATGTCCTAAATTCAATGACACTAACTACCTGGAGTTTGTGCAGACCCCACAGGTTAAGGACTCAGTCCCACAAGGTTGCTCACCACTTCAGATGCCAGTCATAAGTAGTTAGAACATTTCTGTCTGACTTGACTACAAATCAGGGGTTCCCATGACCCCTGCTCAGGTTAGATAATGTGCTGTGACAGTTCATAGAACTCAGGAGAGCATTTGCTTAGATTTACAATGGATATGATAAAGAATACAGAAGAAGAGTAAGATGAAGAGATACATAGGGAAAGGTCTGAAAAAGTCCCAAGCACAGGAGCTTCTGTCCCTGTGGAGTTGGGGTATGCCACCCTCCTGTCACTTGGATCTGTTCACCAGCCTGGAAGCTCTACAATCCTGAAGCTCTCATTGTTTATTTTTCATGGAGGTTCCAACACAGACATGATGGATTAAATCATTGGCCATTGGTGACTGAACTCAATCTCCAGCCCCTTTCCCTTCCTCACAGGTTGAGGAGTGGGGATGAATGCGCCAACCCTGTAATTATGAGGTTGGTTATTTTGTCAACCAGCTCTTCCTGAAATTGATAGCAGCTTGTTCAGCTACGAGTCATCTCATTAATATGCAAAAAAATGCTTACTCCTCCAGAGATTCCAAGGGTCTTCTGTCAGAAACCAGGAACTAATATCAAATACTGTAACAAGAGATGCTCCTATCATCCCTATCACTTGAGAAGTTACAAGAGTACTAGGAGCTTTGTGTCAGGAACTGGGAACAGAAACCAAATATACATTTTTATTACATCACAACCCTTACATAGTGTTCTGTTTGATCAGATTCCAGCTGTCTGCACTGTAATCTGTCCTCCTCAGTGCTTCTAAAGTTACAACTATAAAAATATGACTAGGGGATTTCTTTGCACAAAACAATTCTGTTTTTCTACATTTCCTGTAATTGGAACAGTCACATTCTTGACATTGGTGGCTAAGCAATAAGAAAAATAAAGTACTGTGTGGTTTTGTACCAGCAATTAAATGCTCTGGCATGGAAGTGATACACCTGATTCCCACTCAAAACTTACTGTTCAAAACTGGCTTAAACAGCCCTTAACAATCTAACAATTCATTTCTGTTCATTTTTATGACCTCTGTACCCTAGTTTTTCTTATGTATTTCGACAATTTTTTTACTGCACACCTACTATGCTCAAGGATCATATTCAAATTCATTTTTTTTCATGCTTTACTCATATTCTTGTCTACTAAAAGAATATATTTTGCTCTTCATTTAAGGCCAGACAAGAAATCCTTTAAGGCATGATTTAACTTTACCTATGCAAGTGTCCCCAAATATCTATTCTGTACCCATCAGAGGCTAAATTAATCTCATAGCATGTTGTTCATTTTTTGGCACAGTGTTAATACCTGAATTACTGTAGGTATTGATTAGTCTACTCGGTGTTGCTGACTGTTAGCACCTTAAGGGTGAGGAACTGGGATAATTCATCTTTGTAACACCAGAACTTGGCACAAATTATGTACTTAAAGTTGTGAATTGAACTAAAACTTTGGCAACAATTCTATAGAGTTAATGCTTGAGGGAACACTTCACAATTGAAGTGCTAATTATAAAGCCTTTCCACAATTAGGATTTTACTCCATAAATCACTACTATGTAAGTAAGCTGTGGTAGATGCATTGGCTTGAGCAATTTAATATCCATTCTCACCTCTTTCTAACTTGCTTTCTGAAAATGCAGAAGTGATGAATTTGTAAAACAAAATAAAAATACAAGATTTTTTATGCCCATATTTGTAGTTTTAGTTTACATTCCTCAAATCAGATACATTTAAATGAGACTTGAATTAAAAATCTTGATTTAAGAACAGAGAGAAGAAGGGCACAAAGCATCCATTTCTGTATATTCATGCGTGTGTGTGTGTGTGTGTGTGTGTGTGTGTCTGTTTTAGTACAGGTGTTGTGGTTCTGAAGCAAGGAGCTATAGTAGTGACTTCCTGATTCAACAGGCTTCCCTGACTATGTCAGGAAAAGTGGCTTCCTTGAAAGACCAGTTCTGTTGTTGACTTGGAAGTTACTTTTGGGATCTCAATCTAGAGTCTATTCCTAAAGCCTCTCAATACAATAAAATATTAAATACATCCCAATGCATTATTTTTTCCTTATACTAACTTCAGTGGGTCCTGTCTTTGCTAATAAACTCTAACTGAGAGTAATTGGCACTTGAAAAAAAGCTTCAAGGAAACAGGCATCTGGTATTTAGCATCTGACCTGGTTGTGTTTGAAGCAATTAGGATCCTGCTAATGTCAGAGTATAGAACATTGTTTTTCTATTGTATGAGATAAACAGCATTAAAGATTAACTGTAGTCTTTTAGGAGAAAGTGTCTATTGAAGTCAAGTATTTGGTGAGCTGCTGAGCTGCTGCAGTATACTCTTATGACAAGAATGAAGAATGCATGAATTCTAGAATGAGCAACTGTTCTAGAGAATTTAGAAAAGGAAAAGGAAACAAGCCCAAGTTTCAAAGTACTACTCAAGACATTGTCACAGGTACAGAGAATGTGAGTGTCCTAAAAATTGTAATCCCTTTTTCTGTGTAGACAAAGGCCTAATATGCATACTAATCAATGTGTTAGTCAGAATGGGCTATCTATGCTTCATTAACAACCCCCAAAATCTAGGTAGTTGAAAACAAAAGTACTTCAAGCTATATAGCCATTGCTACTGAGATGAATATTCCCTTATCATAGTTTCTGTTTATATTTATTAGTTTTTCTTCCATGAATGATGAGATCATTTCTGATTTACCTCAAGACTTAGAATAATGTTAACTATTGTGGCTACCTTAAAGACATGCCTATTCTTAAGACCCACCACTGTCACCTACTGCACCATTTGCACATTTGTGGAAAGAAATCTTAGGGTGATCTGGGATAACATTTATTTATCATAGTTGATTAACAATTTTTCTAACTTATATCATGGAAATGAGGAAAATGTATGGGAATTAATTATGAATGTGGTGGGTGAAGGAGGGAAAAACACAGTTTTATATAAATATTATATGTTTATGGATAAATACATTTACGAGGCTGCACTTATAAGGGGATCTGAGTGTTATTTGTAACTGAGCCAACCAAGAGTTGTTCTGTTTCCTTGATTTGTTTCTTAAACATGGACTCAAAGATGTCTTGTGCAAAACTGTTGAGATTCCAAAATGTCCATGATACAACACAGAAAAGGGGATCCTAGTATCTTAAAGAGATAACAGTGAAGTGGCTTAATTGTGTATAATCCATTTATATATCTGCTAGTTATGACTCCTGAAGAACTGAGAGTCCTTTCACCAAGACAGTGAGAAATGCATTGGTAAGGAAAGCCATAGCACACTATTTACTATTTTTCGTAGGATAATAATGAGGGTTGAATTAATATGCCTTTTGATTTTAATGAGTATGATAAGTTCTTAGCATTTAGAGGCTAGGTGGAAATGTTTAATGGCCAGAAGCAAGGGCATCATGGTTTTCATAATAGGTAACAGTAATAATAATCAGAATTTCTCACAATTGTTCCTGAAATACTAGATTTAAATAGAGGCAGCAGACCACTGATGTCTTACTCTGTTTATTTTTATAAATACAATCTTTGAAAGTACTTTTTATATTTAACATAAAGATTATAATCTTTATAAATAGAAATGTCCTAAAATATTCAGGAAAAGTAAAATTGCCTCTCTAGAAGTCTCTGAACTCAGTGCATCTACCTCTGTAGAATTCCTTATTTAATCAGTACATTCTGCTTCTGAACAATGAATTTGTTTTCCAGCCAAAGAAGTGGAGCAATTGGTTTACACCAATAGAACTCACCAATCTCACTCTATCACTGGCAAGTAACTGGTTAGATCCCTTAAAGATCCTGGTGTTGTCATATTTAGAAAAAAACATTTCCAAAGTATGGCATTATAGAAGAGACATAATATTTTATATATCTGGGACCAACATACAAGGCTGGACTAGTTCTCCTATAGTCAAACCACGTGGACTTGGGTTAATGCAAAAATAATTGCGGTTTTATATTGTGAATTTTAAATTATTATAACTAGGCTCAAACACATCTTTATTAATCAAAGTAGGAACCATTACAATCGAGACATTTTTCCCAATAAGAAATAAGTTTGTTTATTCCTGTAGCTTAAAATTCTGTGCTTTGGGATTCGATGAACTCTGGGAAAGTGTGTTTTCTGCATCCTGCTGGTTGTGGGAGCATTTTCCCTGCAAAAAAGTGGTTGAGATGCTTGAAGAAGTGGTAATCATTTGGTGAGTGGTCAGGTAAATATGGTAGATGAGACAAAACTTCACAGCCCAATTCATTCAAGGACATGTTGGTTATGCAACATGCGGTGGGGTGTTGTCATGGAGAAGAATTGGGCCCATTCTGTTGGCCAATGCCAGCTGCAGGTGTTACAGTTTTTGGTGCATCTCATCAGTTTGCTGAGCATACTTCTCAGATGTAATGGTTTCACTGGGATTCAGAAAGCTGTAATGGATCAGACTGGCAGCAGATCACCAAACAGTGACCATGAACTTTCCTTGGTGCAAGTTTGGCTTTGGGAAGTGCTTTGAAGCTTCTTCTCAGTCCAAACATCAGTTGTCATATAAAATCCACTTTTCATCACACATGACAATCTAATCAAGAAATGGTTTATTGTTGTTGTATAGACTAAGAGAAGACGACCCTTCAAAATGACAGTTCTTTTGATTTTCACTCAGCTTATGAGGCACTCACTTACCAAGCTTTTTCACCTTTCCAATTTGCTTCAAATGCCGAATGACTATACAATGGTTGACATTGAGTTCTTTGGCAACTTCTCGTGTTGTTGTAAAAGGATCATCCGATGATTGCTCCCAATTGGTCATTGTCGACTTCTGATGGCCAACCACTATGCTCCTCATCTTCAAGGCTCTCGTCTCCTTTGCAAAACTTCTTGAACCACCACTACAGTGTATGTTCATTAGCAGTTCCTGGGCCAAATGCATAGTTGATGTTGTGAGGTGTCTCCACTACTTTATGGGCCATTTTGAACTTGAATAAGAAAGTTGCTCTAATTTGATTTTGTCTAACATGATTTCCATAGTCTAAAACAAATAGAAAATAAGCAGCAAGTAACAAATCATTAGCAAGAAAACATAAAGTGAGAAATGTGCATTGAAATGATATATAACACAACGACATTTATTTAAGAATGTATTCCAATATCAAACACCAACTTTCAATAGTGCAAAATCCACAATCATGTTTGCACCAATCTATTAACATTCCGTATGTTACACCTAATGACTAACTCACAATATATTAGACTTTCTTCTTATCTCTGTACCACAGAGCTCTATTGGTTTAGAGTTCTTAGATAAATATTTCCACCAGATGATCCAATGGTGACCCATTGAACTTGTCATTGAGATTATCACCTGGTCATTTGGGCTGCTTATGCTGCTGGATCAACTGGTCAAAAAGTGGGGATAGTACCATGCCAGCTGGGATGACATGTTGTGATTATCATGAGCAAGTGGGCTTGTTTTGATGCAATAGGAGTAAGGGGAAGTATTTCATGTACTGTCATTTTCAGTGAATTTGGTTCATGGAAGACTGGAATAACAACACATATACAGTAGAGTCAAGTGGTGGATCCTTTGGGAATAAAGTTTTGGGTCATTCCAACAGGTAAAGAATTCTGACAAGTAGAAGCTGTCACTAGGGACAAAAGAAATATAGAAAGGCTGATGGAAGAAACAAGTTGTACATCTATTAACTTATTACCACTTACAAAAATGGAGACTGAAGAAGCTACCCATATATGACCACTTACAAAAATGGAGACTGAAGAAGCTACCCATATGTGTGTCTACAGTGCCTGTATATTCACCAAATTTGTTTTGTTTTTCTCTCCCTTTGTCCAGCTACCTTAGACAGGATATATTGGTTTTACATTTACCCCTAGCTAAACATAATGGCTATTATGATCAGATTTTTGTAGAACTGGAGAAAAAGTAGACATCATGCAGAATGTGCCATTTCAGTAATGTTTGGGTAACATTTCAATTGCATGAAGGATATTTATATTTATTATGTAGGTACCTATTGATACTATTATTTTTCAGAAATTTAAGAATGAAAATAGTCTATTGAGTAGAAACTGTGTTAGACTGTAGTATATATACAGTATTAATATATTAATGATCCATTTTAACTGCTTTCTATAAAAATTTCTATGCAGAAGAGGCACAAAATCTAAGAAAAAAATCTAATCTTTCTTAAACCTAGAATTTCAAATATTAATGTAGGTATGGCAAATCCTATAGACAAACCAAATTTGCCTTTGGAATTATGTGGAACAAAGGGCTTGGGCCATCCATTTTGCTAATGAAGATTACAGCAGAGGAAGTGTGGAGCTTTCTTACCAATCTGAGTTGCTCGCTTCTAGAACAGATTTTTGGTAATAGTTTCTAAAAGATCAGGTTAGAGGCACTTCCTTCAGCTTCCCTAAACTTCTGTAAGCATTTAATGCTCTACCAAAAAGCCCTTTCTGCTACCACAAAATAAAGTGGATTCTTTTCCCTGCAACTGAACTTTGAATCATATATTAACTGAATGTTTAATACTGACTACAGTAACCCAGCAAAAAAGATGTATAGAATTAATGATGTTGTTAATTATAATACATTTTAAAAGAACCATGGTATAACCTCATATTGAACTTTTAAAATTGCTGACATTGTCTTTTCTGTGACTAACAGAAAATCTACCATGAATAAAATAATGATGTTCATGGGATAAGAGCTAATGTTTTTTGAGCACTGCCTCTGTGCCAAGCAGGAAACCAGACACATCAATAGTTGAGATAGAAATAATTGTCCTTTTTATATAGATAAGAAATCTAAAGGTCAAAGAGCTTAAATGGTTTTCAAAATCATATAGGGAGAAAGTTACACTTATTGCAACATAGGTCTATTTGACTTTTAAGTTTGTGATATTCTCTTGCATCACATTTTTTCTTTTTTTCCTTTCCTTCTATGTGCCATTACTGTATTGAAATATAGAGAATGGAAATTGCAAACTCTTAAAACAATCCTGGCAGAGTTAGGCTTTTACGTTTAGTTTTTACTATACAATTTTCTTATCTATCTCCATTTTAAAGCTTCCCAATACAACAAAATAGAAAGTAATACATATATATACACACAAATATATATAGTAAATATATATAGCAAAATTCATGTTAAATATATATACACACACACATTAAACATAAGAAAATATTTTTAAACCTCCAGTCAATGTTTACAAAGCTTATGGGGGTTTACTCTACTTCAGAAGGTTTATGTAAATACTTAAAATACTGAATAGAACTACAATACTTTATGTGACAGATTATAGACATAATTTATTTCTGTATACTTCTAGAGTTATATTTTCCTTTCTTTCTGGTTTTAGGGAAAATAAACATAGTAACTTCTGGTTGGGAAGGCCTTCACAGAGATACCTTTATTCATTTGCTGGCTGATAAAACTTCACTTTTCATTGCTATAAGTTTCACATCTTTTCTGTTCATTCCTGGCCAGTCTCTTCTTTATTAAGCACTCCTCTGTGACAGACAAAGTGATGTGATCATTTTCTTTTTTTTTTTTTTTTGAGACGGAGTCTGGCTTTGTCGCCCAGGCTGGAGTGCAGTGGCTCAATCTCGGCTCACTGCAAGCTCCGCCTCCCGGGTTCACGCCATTCTCCTGCCTCAGCCTCCCCGAGTAGCTGGGACTACAGGTGCCCGCCACTACGCCCGGCTAATATTTTTGTATTTTTAGTAGACATGGGATTTCACCGTGTTAGCCAGGACGATATCCTGACCTCGTGATCCGCCCGCCTCAGCCTCCCAAAGTGCTGGGATTACGGGCGTGAGCCACCGCGCCGGGCCGGACATGATCATTTTCACTGAATCTAGCTTTCATTTGCCTGCTTTTGAGTGTTTGCTGAGTCTTTTCATCCTTCCTGTACCTTCTATCCACTTTTTTCATGTTCTTCCAAACAGTATTCATACAACAGAAAAGCTAACGTGATTCCTTGATCTGAAATGTTGAAGAAATTCTTATTTGTCATTTAGTTGACAATGAATTATATATAACATCTTTTGACATGTCTTCACTTCTAAATTGGCATAGTCCTTTTATTGCCAAATAATATTTCAAATTATTTAAGAGTGGGTATTTTATTCACTCGCCCTATTAGGATATATTATAGGAATTAACTGACCAAGTCAATGCTACAAAAATCAATTATATCATGAAAACATTCAAAGACGTTTTTTCCGGACCTCCCTGACATCACCACTATGCAGCACTATGAAATACTTTTAATAGCTCAGGTTTAATAAATCAGTATTACTTGTATTCAATAGGAAGTTTTTTTAACTATGCTATTTTCCATTCTGGTGACTGAGAGAAATGAAATATGTGCTCTGTTAAGAAAAAAAATAAATAAAAATAATTAAAAATAATGTGATAAAATAATTTTTCTGGTGTGTTAGTCAAGTAATTTTTTTTTAAAAATAGAAGAAAAGTGCAGAGACTGCCTCAACTCATTTCTTTGTGCCCCTGTGTCATGTTTTGGTAACTATTGCAACATTTCAGCTGCTTCATTATTATTATCATTATAATCTTATGGCCTCGGTGGAATAATCACCCTTATGGTGATCTCTGATGAGTGATCTTTGACATTAGTACTAAAATTGTTTTGGGGCACCGTGAACAATGCCCATATAAAACAACAAACTTAATCCATAAATGTCGTATGTGTTCTGACTGCTCCACTGGCTGGCCATTTCCCCACTTCTTTCTCTCTCTCCTCAGGCCTCCCTATTCCTGACACACAATATTGAAATTGGGCCAACTGACAATCCTACAATGGTTTCTAAGTGTTCAAGTGAAGAGAAGACTCATATGTCTTTCACTTTCAATCAAAAGCCAGCAGGGATTAAGATTAGTGAGGAAGGCATGTCAAGAGCTGAGACCTGCCAAGAGCTGGGTCTTAAACAGTCAGCCAAGTTGTGAATGTAAAAGGAAGTTCGTGAAGGAAATTAAGAGTGCTATTCTAGCAAGCACATGATTAATAAGAACGTGAAACCACCTTATTGCTGATGGAGAAAGTTTGAGTGGTCTGGATAGAAAATCAACCAGCCACAGCATTCCCTTAAGCCAAAGCCTAATCTAGAAGAAAGCCCTAACTCTCTTCAATTCTATAAAGGCTGAGAGAGGAAAAGCTGGAAACCAACAGAGGGTGGCTCACAAGGTTTAAGAAGCCATCTCCATAACATAAAAGAAGTCATCTCCATGACATAAAAGTACAAGGTGAAGCAGCAAATGTTGATGTAGAAGCTGCAGCAAGTGTTGGATGTAGAACCTGCTGCAAGTTATCCAGAAGAGGCTATGAACTCTGACTCACGTCTGGAATCTCAGCACTTTGGGTGGCAGAGGCAGGAAGATCTCCTGAGCCCAGGAATTTGAGACCAGACTAGGGAATGTGGTGAAACCCCTTCTCGACAAAAAAAAAAAAAAAAAAAAAAAAAAAAAATACAAAGATTAGCTTGGTGTGGTGGCACATGCCTGTAGTGGGAGTGAGGCTCCCCTGGGTTCCCTCAGGAGGTTAAGGTGGGAGGATCACCTGAGTCCAGGAAGGTTAAGGCTGTGGTGAGCTGTGATCATGCCACTGCATTTTTACTTGGGTGACAGAACCATGGAATACTATGCAGCCATAAAAAAGAATGAGATAATGTCCTTTGCAGGGACATGGATGGAGCTGGAGGCCATTATCCTTAGCAAACTAACACAGGAACAGAAAACCAAACACCGCATGTCTCACTTATAAGTGGGAGCTAAGCGATGAGAGCACATGGACACATAGAGGGGAACAACACACACTGGGGTCTTTCGGAGAGTGGAGGGGGTGTGGAGGGAGAGGATCAGGAAAAATAATGAATGGGTACTAGGCTTAGTACCTGGGTGATGAAATAATCTTTACAACAAATCCCTGTGACACAAGTTCACCTATGTAACAAACATACTTGTACTCCTGAATTTAAAAGTTAAAAAAAAACTTATACAAAAGATCTAGCTAAGTAGCTAAGCTAATTAAGGTGTCTACACTAAACAACAGATTTTCAATGTAGATGAAACAGCTTTCTATTGGAAGAAGATGCCATCTAGGACTTCCTTTGCTAGAGAGGAGAAGTCAATATCTGGCATCACAGTTTCAAAGGACAGACTGACTCTCTTGTTTGGGACTAATGCAGCCAGTGACCTGACGTGGAAGCCAATGCTTATTTACAATACTGAAAATCCTAAGGTCCTTAAGAATTATTTTAAATCTACTCCACCCATGCTCTGTAACCTGGATGACATTTTATTGACTATTTTAAGCCCACAATAGAGACCCACTGTGCAGAAAAAAAGATTCCTTTCAAAATATTACTGTCCATTGACAATGCACATGTTCACCCAAGTGCTCTGATGGAGATGAACAAGGAGATGCCTACTAACACAGCATCCACTCTGCAGCTCAGGGATCAAGGAATATTTTGACTTTAAAGTCTTATTAGTTAAGAAATACATTTATTAAGTCTATAGCTGCCATGAATAATGATTCCTCTGATGGATGTGTGCAAAATAAATTGAAAACCTTCTGGAAAGTGTTCACCATTCTAGATACTATTAAAAATATTCATGATTCATGGGAGGGGTTCAAAATATCAACATTAACAAGAGTTTGGAAGAAGTTGATTCCAATTTTCATGGAATTCAAGAATTCAGTGAAGGAAGTAGCTGCAGGTGTGGTGGAAACAGCAAAAGAACTAGAATTTGTTCTAGTTAGGAGCCTGAAGATGAACCTGAATTACTGCCATCTCTTGATAAAATTTGAATGGATAAGCAGTTGCTTCATATGGCTGAAGAAAGAAAGTGGTTTCTTGAGGCATCTATTCCTGATGAAGATACTGTAAACAGTATTGCAATGACAACAAAGGATTTATAATATTACATAAACTTAGTTGATAAAGCAGTGGCAGAATTTGTGAGGATTGACTCTAACTTTGAAAGAAGTTCTCTGTGGGTAAAAAATGCTATCAAATACATCAATCACAGGCTATGGAGAAATCTTTCATGAAAAGAAGTTATTTTATTCCTCCCCTCCATCCTAGAAGAAAGAGTCATTTAATGGAACAAAATTTATTGTTGTCTCATTTTAAGAAATTGCCACAGCCACCCCAACCTTCAGCAACCAGTACCCTGATCAGGCAGCAGCCATCAACATGGAGGAAAGACCCCCCATCAGCAAAAAAATTATGACTCACTGAATGCTCAGATGATCTTTAGCATTTTTTAACAATAATGTATTATTAAACTAAAGTTTGTACTTTTTTAGACATAATGCTATTGAACACTTAATAGAATATAGTATAACTATAACTTTCATATGCACTGGGAAACCAAACATTTTGTGTGACTCACTTTATCCAAATATTCACTTTATTCTGGTTGTCTTGAACTAAACCTATAATATGTCTGAGGTATGCTTGTAAAATATTTATCACTTACCATAATTCATAGAGTGTAATATATGAACATTCTTAAATATAAGATTATATTTTAAAATATGCTCCAGGAAAAAGACCATGGTTTGTATATTCTTTTCAATAATTGTAATAATGTGTGTTTTCAAATAGAACAACCACTTTGAGAGAGGTGTATCTATATTATGCCTCAATTATAACAATATGACCCTTCCTTATGTGTTACAAATGTGCGTGTTACTGAATTAATGCAAATACTTGCAATCTATTTAGGAATTTAAAAACACATTGCTAATTTTAAAAATGACTTACTATCAGTGCAGAGGCTATCTTATTATGAAAATGTATTCTGAGAAAGCAACTGTGAAATGAAGTGAGTTGCAGGACCCAGTGACAGGAATACCAAGATAACTGCTGCTGCACAGAACATCCCTTTTCCCCTTAGGAATGTTGACCAGATTGTAGGGTACCCAAATAGTCCAGTTAAGCAGAGAGTAATTAGGTTAAGAAAGCAATCAGATTGCTTAACACAGCATCAGTGACTTTTTCTCCTTCTCATGGCATAAAGTGTAGACAGGTGTGCATTGCAAGCACAGAGATCTACTTCATCTTGCTGCTGCCCAAGACTGCCATTGATATGAAACAGTTTGGATATTTGTTCCCCCCAAATCTCATGTTGAAATGTAATCCCCAGTGTTGGAGGTAGGGCCTGGTGTTAGGTGTCTGGATCATGGGGGGTGGTTCCTTCATGAATGCCTTAGCGCCATGTCCTTGGTGATGAGTGATTTCGCCTGAGATCTGGTTTGTAACAGTGTGTGGGCCTCCGATACTCTGTGCCTTACTCCTGCTCTCATCATGTGATGCACTTGCTTCCCCCTCCCCTTCCCCATGATCTTAAGCTTCCTAAGGGCCTCATCAGAAACATGTGCACCATGCTTCCTGTATGTCTTGCAGACCTGTGAGTCAATTAAACCTCTTTTCTTTATAAATTACCCAGTCTCAGGTATTCCTTTATAGTAACACCAAAATGGCCTAATACAATTAATTTCCTTTGAATAAATCTTTGAATCTTTGACTACTTACTAACCTGGAGTGGTCTGCCTCTTTCTTTGTTCTGAGTTTGCTCTATGTTTTGGGAGGGTGATTCTCAGTTCTGTCAGGGAGTTTTCTCAGTATATCTTTATTTTGAAAACACGAAAGCCATTATATTGAAGTTAACTTGACAGTGTGACAGTGATAAAGTGATAAAATTATAATAGTTTTTTTTTTTTTCTTGAGACAGAGTTTTGCTCTTGTTGCCCAGGCTGGAGTGCAATGGTGCGATCTCGGCTCACCACAACCTCCAACTCCCAGGTTCAAGGAATTCTTCTGTCTCAGCCTCCTGAGTAGCTGGGATTACAGGCATGTGCCACCACACCCAGCTAATTTTGTATTTTTAGTAGAGATGGGGTTTCTCCATGTTGGTCAGGCTGGTCTCGAACCCCCAGCCTGACTGCCTGACTTGGTGATCTGCCTGACTCGGCCTCCCAAAGTGCTGGGATTGCAGGCGTGAGCCACTGTGCCTGGCCAAATTATAATAGTTGTATTTATTTAAATATATATCCATGTGTATTCATATATATGTATGTTCGTGTGTATATGTATATATATATATGCATATACACATACATATGTAGTGTGCACTTATATCCTAACCCATGATTACTCTTTGATATTATAGTTTTATTAAATGACACTTTCATATTGTATTTCTCATAAATATTAATATTATAAATATTAATATAAATGTTCATATTATATTTATTGTTTTCTAAGCTATATAGGTTTTCAGAATAAGAATCTTGCTTTCCTTGTTGACTATTATGTTACTAATACTTAGTTCAGGTACTAGTACAAAACAGGTAGTCAGTGTTGATTAATGTCCACATAGTAATTCATTTTTATGATTTATTATGTGGCTATAATTTAACAGGATCTGCTATAGTTCCAAAGATTTAATCAAATAATTATATTTTGGTTTTAAAATTAAAATATATGGCTAATTAAATGAGTATATGAAATTTTTATTGAGAAAATACAATAAAAATATGTTGGCATGATTATGTAGATAGTAAAAACATTACAATTTTCTATTGTAAACATTTTTATTTAAAAAATGCAATAAAACAAAAATGATTGCATAAACAAAAAAGCAAATGATAGGTAAAAACACAAGCAATGACAGAACATGAAAGGTTCAGCTTATCTACAGAATAATTTGAGGTACTAACTGCAAGTGACAGCAATAGATGCTGCTATAGACCAAAACGTTTGTGTCCCCTCCAAAATTCATATGTTGAAACATGTGCACCAATGTGATGGTATTTAGAGTTGGGGCCTTGAGGAAGTGATTATGTAATGAGAGCAGAGGTCTCAAGAATGTGATTAGTGACTGTATTAAAGAGAACCCAGACAATTCTCTTACTCTTTCTGTCATGTGAGATTATAGGGAAAGAGATGGTCATCTATGAGCCAGGAAGTGGGCCCTCATCAGACATGGAATCTGCAGCTTCCTGGATCTTGGACATCCCAGCCTTCAGAACTATGAGAAATAAATTTCCATGGTTTATAAGACACCCAGTCTGTGGTATTTTGTTAAGGCAGCCTGATCAGACTAAGACAGATACTATAACTGCAAACATATTAAAGGAGAATGGAGGGGAAAATGACATTTCGTGAGGTGGTGTGGTCATGAGATTAAGAATAAAAATACAATTTAAGAAAATGATTTAGCTAACTTTGAATCTAAGTAGAACTTTCGACCAAAGAGTAAAGTCAACATTTATCTTTTTATTAAAATAGGTGGAGAATCTTAGCTAGGGTTTGAAAAGTAGTGAATGAAAAAAAAATTAAATTGGAGAGTTACTGATAAAATCACAGAGAACAACCACATGCCTGAGGATAAATAGATGCTTTGAACAACCGAAGGAGAGATAGTATATGTACTCATTAGAATTTTAAGGATTGTTTTTCTGAGATAAAACACTGCTCCCTCATTCCTATTTCTACTGAACTTCGTGTATGAGCCTGCTATAAATGATCCAAGTTAGGAAGCAGCAACTTGTCTTATAAAAACCATTTCTCCTTTTATGAACTATTTCCCAGGGTAAAACTCTACAAGCCTAAGAAATTAATGTTTATCAATTTAACTATCTTTCGCATTAATGCAGTTCTGCTTTCTCTCATTTGTATTGTATGTAAATTTAATAATAAATAATCTTACCATGAATCTGTGCATTAATTATTTTATTATTTCACCCAACAAATATATATTAATTATCTACTCTGTGCCAGATGTACTGGAGTAGCCATTTGCTTCCTGAAGGATCCTCAGAATTTCTCAAGTGTACAGACTAAATGAGTTCACATCATTGTGGATTTTCATTCATTTGGAGTAAGATTGTTTTAAAATTTGCAGATGTTTTAGAGTTATAAGCATCACCATATAATTCAGTGTTCTTAAATAAACTGAGAAGTACTTAGGCAGGTATTTATATATCTTATTTTCATAGACAAAGCTGAAGGTTCTAAGATAAATTCACCTTTTTCCCCCATTAGATTGTTCTTCCAAATGTTTTTCCTGCTTCATATTACATCATCACATATACTCAATTTTTTAGAGCAAAAACTGTCCATTATCTTCGTACTTTTTTTTCTGCATCAGAATAACGTGGAAACCATCAGTTACCTTTATTACTCCGTCTCTCATCCTTCATTTACTGGCAACAAGTAATTGCTAATAGTTACTTCTCCTCTTAGTTACTTTTCCTCTTAGCACCCACTTCTTCTGCCTCATTGTTTTGTTAGTAGGTTGTCCTCTTTTATTTGAAGGGTTCACCTCAGCCCAGTGCCTGCACAAAGAAGGTACTCTTTAACTAAATAATAAAAAAACTTATCCAGGACAATTGTTTGATGCTCAAATTTGTTAATGCATAAAGTATTTATCTCAGTACTTGACATACATTAAATGAGCTAAAACAGTCAATATCCTTACGTGGTTTATAAAATGCAAAATATCCCCACTTCCTATCACAGAGCTCTAAAACCTTTGGAATTTCCTGAGCGATACTTTTGTTATAATAATCCCCCTTTTTATCACATCTAAGTTAATGCTAAAGATATGACCTAGGGTAGGGCCCCTAGATAACCTCAGGATGGGGCTGGTGATTAGAGTGTTAGAATGTTCAGCCCCCCCACCCCCTTCCTCACCACTAACCTCTGGGAAGGAGAGGGCAGAAGGGTGATGGAGACTAAGCTCTATAAAAACTCTTGAACAACAAGGTTGAATGAGCTTCTGTGTTGTTGCACACAGGGAGGCACTACGAGCATTGCATGCCTAGAGAGGGCATGGAAGCTCTGCACCCCTTCCCACTTACCTTGCCCTATGTATTGTTTCCATTTAGCTGTTCATCTGTCATCTGTATTCTTTGTAATATCCTTTACAATGAATAGATAAATGTAAAGAAATTGTTTTCCCGAGTTCTGTGAGCCACTCTAGCAAATTAATACAATCCAAGGAGGGGGTCATGGAAACCCTGATTTATAGTTGGTCAGTCAGAAGCACAAATGACAACCTGGGACTTGTGATTGGCATCTGAAGTGGGGACAGTCTTATGGCACTGAGCCCTGAACCTGCAGGATCTGATGCTATCTCCAGGTAGATAGTGTCAGAATTGAACTGAATTAAAGGACATCCTGCTGGTGTCCAGAGAGTTGGAGAACTGCTTAGTGTCCAAAAAACCCATGTATCCATCACAGAAGTGTTTTGTGTTGTAACCAAAATGTACTAATAGATAAACACAGTGTGTTTTCCCAGATCTGAGGAGACTCTGCAATACCTGTTTTGCTTTTTTCAATCTGGAAAATGCTGTAGTGGTGGAGGAAGAGCTTCCTCTCTGTCCACTGAAGGCTCATTAAAAATAAACTGACAAAAGAAAAATTAATAAGAGAAAAAGATACACAAAATTTATTTAACATGCATAAACACAGAAGCTCTACAAAGGGTATGAGACTAGAAGAGCACAGCGGCCTGAAGGTTACTGCGAAAATATTTTCTTTAGAGGGGAGAGATGTATTATAACCCAGAAGGCAGACATTATTTTGTAAATGGTTCTCTTTGGAAGCTGGATAGGACAAGATGAGTAGCAGGATTGCACAGGAACAAAATTTGTCTTATTATGCAGACAAAGTCCCCCAGGTGAACTCTCAGGGCTGCCCTGATAAGAATAAATGAGGTCTTTCTGGGCATGGCAATGACTCCCAGACTTGTCTCTTCTCCAGTGGTTAATCTGTCTTGGTTATTTAATGAGTTTCCTAAGGAGAGAGGGTCTTTTTTCTTTCTTTCTTTTCTTTTTTTTTTTTTTTTTTTGAGACGGAGTCTCGCTCTGTCGCCCAGGCTAGAGTGCAGCGGCGCGGTCTAGGCTCACTGCAACCTCCACCTCTCAGGTTCAAGCGATTCTCTTGCCTCAGCCTCCAGAGTAGCTGGGACTATAGGCGAGGAGGGAGGGTCTTAAGACTATTGCATTTCTTTTGGAAAGAAGTTTTCTTAGGTAAGGAAATTCCTGAGAGAGTCCCTCTTAGTGCTTTGGGAAAGAGGATCAGAGAGAGGCAGGCAGGGCAAAGTCAGAGAGAAACCTTGGTTTTGAGACTTATTTCTGAACCCTTTCAATTTTCAAAGCAGTCAGCACGCCAAAGTGCCACATTTTAGAGAACTGTTTTTCACACCTCAATAATGCCACTTATCTTAAAGACTGAGCTCGGTTGTAACTATCTTCACGAGGCCTCTGTTACATTTCTTCAGAAAGTGTGCCATTTTGTGCATATCAGTATAATCACTTTTCTCACTTTATTGAAATTTTGTGTTCAGATGTCTATTTTTCCCCACTAGACTATAAACTTTTCTGAGAAGAGCAATCTTGTTAGAGACAATTTTGTATTTCTAGGGCCTTATGTAATGTCTGGCATTTTAAAAGACACAGTTTGTATTTGTTAAATTAATAAAAGAATGAATACCACATAAAGTGGCTTTTCTAATATTATAATACTAGTAGGTGGCAGAAAAGAAATTAGTTCTCTCTGAATAGTAAACTGACAATGATAAAGATTACCTTTTTAGAGAAAACCAATTTATATCAATACTTATTAAAATGCTTCCTTAAATTAAACTCATCAAACCCCAGATATTGATGGGAACAGAAGCAATTTTATTTCTGAACTATGAATAAACCCTTGATACTCTATCAGTTAAGGTGCATTCTACCTTGAAAGTACTTCCCTTTATTGGAAGTTGTTGTGTTCTTCTCCACTGAACAGCTTGCATCTCCCTGCACTTAGCCTTTGGCTTGCTTTGAAACTGGCTACATCAACATACCCAGTCTTCTTTTCAATTGAATAAATAGGTATTGGCTTATGGGAACCACCTAATACAGGGGTTGATTCTGCCAGGCCTTGCCTCTCGGGTGCACCTGATTCAAACTGAAAATCAAATTAAAAGCACAAAAGCGATAGCTCTTTTCCTCTCTATTCTCATAACTTTTCATGTCCAAAGAATAGAAATGTAATCCAAGAGTCAGAAATAATGAATTGTCTCTTGTTCTTCCTACATAATTTCTCTTTTCTCTCTCTTCTAACTCCTCCTTTGGCTACTTAATGATTCCATTTTCTACACAATGTGGTTATTCATCTGAGATCTGGCTGTTTCACTACAGTGAGAACTGGGAAAGTATGATTTTCACAAATAGGCTGAGGTATGATCTGTGTAGGGAAATAGGAAAATAATAATAATCATTATAATTTATAATCACCTACTATATGCCACTTTCTCATGTATATTGTCTTAGTAATTCTACCATAACCCTGTAAGGTTATTTTTGCCAAATGAGAATCAGGTTCAGGGAAATTCAGTAAATTTCCCAAGGCATATAGTTGGGCTGATATAAATGCAGGATGTGTGCCCCAGACACTTTGATTCCTGTGTCCATGCTTTTATCCCATATTTCACTCTTTACATCAGGACTTAAGCCAGAACAAGCCCGTTCTATAAGACATCATGAGAGCATTTTAACCAAAAAGAGCCCAGTGTGCAGATGTGTTCTCTAGAAGAGTTAAAACATCCTTAGACTATTTTAACCCCTCAATAAAGTAAGTAAGGGGTATTTGGGAATGATCCCTTTTGGAAATTTATAGAATGTGTTTTCTATTTCTGTAGGCTCTACTTCTCTGTGCTAATGAAACTCATTTTGAATCACTTTGCACAATATCTTTTCTAATGGAATATCCAATAGTGTATAAACTTAAGCTGTTAGAAATACGCCTACCATAAAATGTAACTTGATTATTTGTGTCATGCCATCTATAGTTATCAACATCCACCCCAAACAAATACCACACACATTCCTTCTCTTTGTTGTCTGGATTATACTAAGTTACTTTCTGATTTTCTCACTCATTCTATCTTCCTTCAATAGTTTATATATTTCTTCTCATAAACTCAAAGCAGGCTCTCTAAAGTCATTTTAAACATGTTAATTTGACCCAATAAGTTAATAGAAGTCTGACTTTGAATGTGAAAGGAAATTTTTTCCAACTTTTTTGTAAATAACTTACGAACATCCTAGATTAATGACACCTTTTTATTCAAATGTTCTGCACTTTTTTTTTTTTTATTTTTTTGAGAAAGAGTCTTGCTCTGTCGCCCAGGCTGGAGTGCAATGGCATGATCTCCTCTCACTGCAACCTCCGCCTCCTAGGTTCACGCCATTCTCCTGCTTCAGCCTCCTAAGTAGCTGGGATTACAGATGCCCAGCTAATTTTTGTATTTTTAGTAGAGATAGGGTTACGCCATGTTGGTCAGGCTGGTCTCGAACTCCTGACCTTGTGGTCTGCCCACCTCGACCTCCCAAAGTGCCACCATGCCCGGCCTCTGCACATTTTTGAAGTGGGGTCAAAGGGAGTCTGGGAGAACCTGTTCATCACCATTGTTTGTATTGCTTAGCTGGGGTCTTAGAGAGAGTGTGCCCCAAGTAGATTCAGGTAATGATCTATACAACTTCAGCTGGCGGATGAACTATCTAATTGAAAAACACCAGTGACTCGCCACCACCTAAATTTTGTCCCAACCTAATAAATGCATTGTATCACTAGTGAACTGTGGTTAGATGTCTGATTTTTCCACATTTCCTAACTACCTGTCATTCCTGAACTTTTAATTATAATTGGTTATTACTAACTAACTGTACTAATTTTAACTTAATTGGATCTATTTTTAGGATTCAACTGAGATAATTTTCTTAATTTTTTTTTTTTTTTTTTTTTAGACGGAGTCTCGCTCTGTCGCCCAGGCCAGACTGCGGACTGCAGTGGCGCAATCTCGGCTCACTGCAAGCTCCGCTTCCCGGGTTCACGCCATTCTCCTGCCTCAGCCTCCCGAGTAGCTGGGACTACAGGCGCCCGCCACTGCGCCCGGCTAATTTTTTGTATTTTTAGTAGAGACGGGGTTTCACCTTGTTAGCCAGGATGGTCTCGATCTCCTGACCTCATGATCCACCCGCCTTGGCCTCCCAAAGTGCTGGGATTACAGGCGTGAGCCACCGCGCCCAGCCAATTTTCTTAATTTTTAAACTATATTCTCATTCTTGTTTCAAAAGAATACCTGCTCATTTAAAAAATTTTAAAACATGAAAATATTTTGATTAAAAACTTAATATCCACCTCTAATGTCCTTGAAACATATTCACATGTAATAATAACAATTGATTAAACTCATTCCATTTGATTTTTCTATGAACAATCAAACACACACATGTGAGTGTATATGTGTGTGTGTTTGAACACACATGTGCATACATATATACTATGCAAATATGGTATCAACACTTTGTTGAACCCTTAGTAAATGTCAGGAATCACATTATATCAAAGTGGTTATGGTTCCAGCCTGTGAAATTTGACAGCTTGGATTCAAATTCTGATTCACTTTGGACTAGCTATATGACTGTTGGCTGGTTAACTATTTTATGCTTTCGATTTTTCATCTGTAAAATAGTAGTTATAACAATGTCCACCTCTGAGGGCTATAGTGAGGTAAAGAGGAAATGTACTTGTAAAACATTTAGAATGATATCTGCCACTAAGTAAGTATTAGCTATCATAATTTTTATCTCATGGAAGCCTATTGGGTACTAACGCCTCCCAAATAAGAATTCTTATTGTATTCATTTTGCTGATAAGAAAATTGGAGCTTAAAAAGTTTAAGAAATTTCCCCAAGGTTACACACTAGTTAGAGATGTAACAAGAGATTAGCATGAGGAATCTGAAAACAAGGTCATCTTTTAACTTCAATACTATCTGAACTACATTGTAAGATGCTATGACATACTCCAAATACATTCAGTGAATCACAGTGTTCTCGTACTTAACACTTTAACTTAAAATATAACAACAAAAGAACAGCTAATTTATGTTGACTATTAATTATGTGGTAAGTGCTTTGCATGTGACATCTTATTAAAAAACAATTTTAAAAATGAAGAAAATGAGATGTAGGTTTAGATAGGTTAAGTACTTTTCTCACCATCATGCAGTAGGAAGCAGAGTCTGCAAAAGAACTCAGTTCTGCTGACATGAAAGTACATCTACTTAAGCTCTTTGATTTACTTCTACCATATGTTGGACATGTTTCTGTGTTAGAATCAATGAGTCTACTTAATTCTGTTTCATTGATGTTAAATGTATGGATGTTTTATAATTTATTTAATCCATTCTCATACTGATGAACATTCGGTATTGTTGCCACTAAATACAAGGCTGTAAGAATCATTTATGCATTTGTTTCTTTCAAATTTTGCATGATTATTTTTGTAGGATAACTTCTAAAGAAAGAAAATACAGAGTTTAAAAGGTTAGAACTTGGAGTGGCCGAGTGGGGGAAATTGAAAAAAAAACACAAAACTTAGGACTTAAACTGTTTTGTTTTATATAGTTTTACCAATTTTTCCAGACATCAATATTGTGTGAATAGCTCAAGGTTATATAAATGTGGAAATAGTATTTCTCCATGTTTTTAGGTTGGGTTCTCTGGGTGTAGTCTGAAATAGGTTTGTGCAATGTATTGGAAGAGTGCTCTCAGGAGAAAGAATGAGGAAGCAGGGCAGAGCAGGGAAAACAGTAAGTTTTCCTCAGTCTGCTTCCAAGAGGAACTCTACATTTTCAGTCCACCAGTCCTTGACTGCAAACTGCAACCTCAGTAAGTGGGTGAGAGGTACAAGGGATCTCCTTCGGTTGTGTTATTCTCTGGAGAATGGGAGAGTTCTGAGCCTTGGAAACTCAAATGCTGAGCAGTTGGGGTGTGGTGACATTGTCTGATAAAGGGAATATAGGAGGTCACCAACAAAATCCACTATAATTCATACTACACAATGCATAGACCCATTTAGGTCTAACAGTACATTTACTGTGGCCAGGCATAGTTTTGGGGGATTTTGGTTGGTCCCAATTTCGGAGAAAACTTACAAGACATGAATTGGGAGATGCTATAATTGTTCTGGGGGCTCTAAGTAATATTCATCATCTCTCTCCTTCAGAATTCTTTCTAGATTGCCCTCCCTTTCAGCAAGCACTTTTGCAGGTCTTGGTGGTTTACATGGTGGGGGACCCATATAATCATGTGAATGGAGACTAAACTCATTTTTACAAAGCCATTATCAGGCCTTGGTTGCTCTTCTTATTCCTTTTTGGCTTAATTCAGGTTGTGGATATGAAGAGATATGTGGGAAGATCACCAGAGTTCCAAACTCCTCCTTGCCCCAGTTATGTAATGGCAGCCTACTTCCCCTTAATGATGAGGGCCATTTATTTCTGCTTGCTGGTCTACTGGAGCAAAGAACCCAATGAGAACAGGGGGCTGCAACAGCTGTAAGCTTACAGATTCTCTTATCTTTCAGTGGCTATGTCTATTCTGTGGGACTCAAGACTCTAGATACTGAGTCTTGTGAGGACAGAAAGCACAATTCCCCAAGCACAGCATTATGATTGATGGTAAGCAAGGCAAACCCTGCTTTTTACCCACTTGTCCCTGAATCCATTCAGTCTTCCTAGTGGTCACACAGAACAATATAGTCGCCATTGATTTAGGGTTCATGCTGCATCTTGAAATATATTACCTCATTTTCATGTGCTATCATTGTATTAGTCCACTCTTACATTGCTATAAAGAACTGCCTGAAACTGAGTAATTTATGAAGAAAAGAGGTTTCATTGACTCACATTTCCACAGGCTGTACAGGAAGCATGGCTGCGGGGCCCTCAGGAAATTTACAATCATGAGGAAAGGGTGAAGGGAAAGTAGGCATGTCTTCACATGGCAGCAGGATAGAGAGAGAGAGAGAGAGAGCAAAGGGGGAAGTGGTACACACTTTTAAACAACCAGATCTCATGGCAACTCACTCACTATCATGAGAACAGCAAAGGAGAAACAAGCCCCCATGATCCAATCACCTCCCACCAGGTCCCTCCCCAACATTGTGATTTATGATTCGACATGAGATTTGGGATGCTAAAGGTGGTGGAAGCAGTATCTGAATTGACTGTCTCCCCTCTTGATTGATGGTTCTGCAGAAAGTATATCTTTACAACAGTCAGAACAAAAGAACAGAGTTTGCATATAACACTATTTAATGGAGAGGTTATTGGTAACAAATATGAGACACCCTGTTGGGACTGCCAAAAATAACTGGATGGAAAAACTTTCAATAGCTTACCTAGATTTCCAGAAATTTTTGGTGGTGATAAGAGCTCCCAATATACTGTTTTTGTTAATGTAACTCAATTGAAACTTTACATATAGTCTAGAAATGAATTGATATTTTTGTTTGCTTAGGGATATGAAAGTATTTAAAGTAAACTCAAAACAAATTTTGTTTTCTCAGTAGTTGTGAGGAGGGAACCCTGTTCATGCTCACAGGCTCGACTGGGAAAACAGTGCATTGCAATGATGTTTTCAAAATCAATTCAGAAAAAAAAAAATACAGTCAGCCTTTGTATCTGTGGGTTCTGTATCCATGGGTTTAACCAATTATGGATCAATTTTTTTTTTAATTGCTGGTTCTGTTTTTACTGAAGATGTACAGACATTTTTCTTCTCATTATTCTATAAATGATATAGCATAACAACTATTTACATAGCATTTATATTGTATTAGTTAATATTACTGTAAGTAATCTAGAGATGGCTTACAGTATACTGGAAAATGTGCATAGGTTATATGCAAATGCTACACCATTTTAGATCAGGGACTTGAATATCTATGTATTTTGGTATCCACAACAGGCCCTGGAACCAATTTCTCATATCCATGGGAGCTGACTGGGAGGTGAGTGTATAAATATTCTTGATTTGAAAATATTATCAAAAGTTATTCTGAAATCTAACAGCTGTAAACTTGAGCCATTGGTAATGAGACATGGAAAATAGTATAGGAGTTTAAACTACCACTATTCTGGGGACAGTCAATTTGGAAAACATGAATCAAAGAAATGTTAAATGTTCTTTGACAGTGCACGTGTCATTTGTTAGAGGAAAAATGTCACATATTTATTGAAATTTATTATTAGCAGGTTAACATGTTTAATTTATGATTTATTATTTTTTGTGAGACATATAAATTGTAATTGATTTTCTTATGCAATCTGAAATGATATCAATATTACTACAAAATGTCAATAGCAAAGGAGTTATTGAAATCTTCTAAATATTATACTGCTAAATTTTGCTAAGCATGTTATAGTAATTCAGGAAAAGGTAGATGTTTTCACCATAAAAATCAAATTTTGGGCACATTAAAGTTCTACTCTTTACTTGATATTACAGTACAATACCCAGGACTATACTTAAGGGACATTCTACTGACTTTCACCAAAATATATTTAAAAGAGTAGAAATAACAAGTCGCTGTATTTCTAGAGTTAATATCAGATAAATCATTTTAGTAAAGACAATTTAAAATATAAAAACCTTTTTCACATTAAATACACATGAGAATATAAGAGGAATAAAATCATCTCACTTTTTCTGTCACCCTTGGACTATAGAGAAAAAAGATTTTTAGCAACAGTACAAATAATAGATTGGAAGGGAGAGACTGGTTAGAAAATAACTTTGAGTCTTAAGTGAAAAATAATGGGAGAGATTGCTGGAAGAGAAAATAAAATTAAGAATATTTGGTTTTCATAATGAGAATCTACCTTCTATTGCAAAGTTGTCAGAGCTCACTCTGATAAGTGATGGGATATATTAGCTTGTGAATTATGTTTGGTGATAGGTCTATCTGAGCTTCAAGTTCTTGGACCTTCCTTCCTAACCTTCCTAAAAAGGAAGCACTAGATGTGTCACAACCATGTCACTATGAAATGACTTCCAAAGAGCATCATAACCCTTTTCAAAAACCTTAAACCTACTTATAGTCATTGATCCTCACCTGCCCATAGCAGGTGCTAATACTTTGGCGATTTGGCCCCAATTTTTGTAAACACATCATTAAAATGTCAACTTCTACAGCTATGAAAGTTAATCGGTAAGCTTTCACTGAAGCTCTTTCTTCAAATTACTGATTTATAGGTAACCAGAATTTTTGTAAGAAAAAAATATTTGTATTTAGGAGCAGCTTCTCCTATTAAACATTAAGATAAAAACTCTTTGAGGAGGTAACAATAATATTATCTACAAGTGTCATATATATCAACACATGCTTAGCCAAAGTACTGATCTATCTTATCCTTTTAGCCTAGAAATGAGGTGATACTTTTATCTGCTTATGTAGATGACACCATCTGCTCAATTTACCTAAGAGCTTTTCCTCATTACTGATATATTGAAGAGGTATAATGTACCTGTAACAGTCAAGGTTGACTCCAATAGACCTTTCAGTTCTCATAGTTCTTCCTGGACCTTCTCGTGCTGTCCAGTGGTGATTTTCTTTCCTACCAGAGGAATTTTTTGTAGGGTGCCTCCAGAAGATTAAGTTTCATCTTTTGGAATGTAGCTAGTTGAATTCCCAAAGGAAATAATTCGTTGTGCTAGCATATTAGTGGAATTATTTTGGCAGACATAAGGGAAGATTGATTACTGTTTGTCAATTTTAAGTGAGCTGCTCCTAAGCTTTTAGGAACATTGTATAAGGGGTATACACCTGCAGCATGTATATTTATTTAGATATTTTAAATATTATTCCTGAGATTAATATGAAATTTGTCTATGAAACAGCTTTAATTTGGCTTCTTTTAGAGTTTACTGATTTATGATATGCCGTATGCTATCAGCTTGCAGTGATGAAGGCTTTGACAAATAGTTTTATGAGAATCAGAACTTATAAGAATCAAAATTATAGTTATGGTAGAGATGTAGTTGAGAATATACTCTAATCCTCTAGTATACTCTTCAGGAGACATCTGAAATATGCCTTTTCCCTTCAGTCTAGTATCAGGAAGAACTATCTTGATTAATGTTTTGATTTTATGTTTGGACATTTTAATTACTTTATCTAATCTCCTTTTTCCTTTTTTTTCTCACTAAGAAATCTGAGCCAAATATTTTGGTCACCTCTAATACATATAAAGGAAATTACATGATGCAATTTTATGTGCCAGTATTTCTATTGTTTCTTTTGCCTACCCATATATTCCCTTTGTCCAACTTTCAAAACAATTTATAGTCACATGTCACTTATTAGAAAATGTATATTTTGAGAAATGCATCCTTAGGCAATTTGTCATTGTGTGAACATCATAAAATGCGCTTACACAAATCCAGATGGTATAACCTACTGTATACCTAGGCTATATGGTATAGCCTATTGCTGCTAGGCTACAAATCTGTAGAGCACTTTACTGTACAGAATACTGTACATTTGTGTATCCAAACATATCTAAAATATAAAGAAGGTACAGTAAAAATATGTCACAAAAGATTAAAATGGCATACCTGTAAAGAGAACTGACCATGAACGCAACTTGCAGGGCTTGAAGTTGCTCTGGACAAGTCAGTGAGTGAGTCGTGAGTTAATGTGAAGGCTTGTGACATTATTATACACTACTGTAGACTTGCTAAACAATGTACACTTAAGCTACACAAAATTTATATAAAATAGCTGTTTATTCGATAATAAATTAACCATATCTTACTGTAATTTTTTTACTTTATAAACTTTTAATTTTTAAAACTATTTGCCTCTTTTGTAATCACACATAGCTTAAAACACAAACACAAAGTACAGGTGTACAAATTTTTTTTCTTCATGCTCATATTCTATAATCTTTTATCTATTTTTAATTTTTTTATGTTTTGGTTTTTAAACTTTTCTTTTTTGCTAAAAATGAAGTCACAAACACAAACATTAGCGTAGGCCTACACAAAGTCAAGATTATCAATATTGCTGTTTTCCACCTCCACATCTTGTTCCACTGGAAACTCTTCAGGGACAATAACACGTATGGAGCTCTCAGCTATGATAACAATGCCTTCTTCTGGATATCTCCGGCAGGACCTGCCTGAGACTGTTTTATTGGTAGCATTTTTTTTTATAAGTAGAAGGAGTACACTCTAATATATTGATAAGAAGTACAAAACAGTAAATACTAGGCAATAGGAAATTTTAGTAGCTCCATTATAATCTTATGACACCACCATTGTACATACAGTCTGTCGTTGACTGAAACTTCATCATGTGGCACAGGACTGCATTTGTTTTTACTATGTTATGTATTTTTAGAAATAGTCTTAAATTTTTTTGTGGAATAAGATTGAGAATGAACTGTTTTTAATACAGTTATACTAACAGTTTTTGCAGCTGCAATACTTGGCATTTAAGTATTTTTATTTAATAGACAAAAGTTTTCACATGGTTTTATTGTTTTCATTTGCATTCTTTTGATTTTCAGTGATTTTATTTTTTATTTGTTTTTCTTTTTATTTGAGCTTTTGGTTTATGCTCTTTTATAATTCAGTTGTTATATATACTAGATAGGTAGGTAGGTAGGTAGAATAAAGAAAGATATGGCTAATTCGAACACTATGCATTTATCTTACTTGATGAAATATAGTTCCACTGATATTTATTTATTTTTAATACTAATTTTCATTGGACAACAGGTTTATATTTCTATGCAAAAAATACTTTCCCATGTTAGCTTTTCTATGAATGCTGACTTCTTTAAGACGATTTCTTAATGATAGGCAAACACTATGAGTGTTTAAAAATTGAAACCAATATTAAATTAAAAACCTGATGCTTATAGTATTCTGCTGTTCCATGAATTCAAATTTCTGTGCATAATCAATAAAAATTGCCAGTAGACAACTGCTCTAGTCTACAATTTTTAAATGGAATACTGCTGTAGCAATGGTACTGGGTTGAAAAAAATCAGTATGACTGAATACATGGAGTTAAAATGGCTACCATTTCATAAATGTTAAAGTCAATAAAATCCCCATAAAAAACCCAATGTTATATTAAGTATACACAAATTTATGATGATGGATCTGCTGTGTCTTCAAAGGAAATATAAATGTACTACTTCAATGGAATGAGTCTTGTATACTCTAATATAGGGTGTCTGTGTTTTCTTTGATTTGTTAGTATGAGTAATCTTAATTAAGGCCCATAAAAACATATGGACATAAAATAGATTTGTATGACTGAATGATTCTATATTCATGACTAATCTTTTGCCCATGACTTGAAATCAACTTCCTTGCACAAAACCAACTTTCCAGCCATGTTATCTGCAGTTAGAAGAAATAATGCATCTAACGTGACAAACTTATTCTTTACAAGAGTTCTAACAAATAGTGCCAAAATATTCCCCTAACAATATAGGCTTCCCTTGCTAGTATGTATTTTTGTTAAGTAACTTGTAGATTGTACATCTTCAATGACATAAGTTTTACAATCCTAAGCATATAGACTGAGAGTTAGATCTTCCCCAGGCACCCTAGTTAAAGCAAAACTCCCAACTCTCAACTAGCTCTGACAAACAAAAAGATAAAAGGTGAAGATTTGCTCTTGCACATTTACAATATAGGCTCTCAATTAGCTTCAACAACTGCTGAAATATACCAATTAGCAAGGCTTCATGGACTTAATCAATACTGGATTTGGGAATCCTACTGAATTTGAACATAGTCTCCCCTGTAATCTTAGGGGGACTACTAAATATAAAATAGAGGGCAAATAAATATGCCTTATTGCATTTTCTAAATTTTCCATAGTGATAGCACCCATTGTTCTAAAACATCTCATAGCAGGCCCTGTTGCTCTGACTTAATGATTACATTAAAATTAAATTGAATCTTTGGCTCTTACAAATGGCCTTGACAAAATGGGAACCCACAGACCCCTGCCACCAGTTAAAATAGTTAATATAACCCAATGTAAGTTAAAACAAGCATTCAAGAATTGAAACTTATTATATTAGATACAATAAATACAAGGAAGAGTATATAATTTCTCCATCTGATAGTTTAGTTTGGCCTTTTCTTAAACTTAAAAAAGATTAAATAGCTACTCAAGGTGAATTACACAATGCTATGGTTCCATCCATTTACACACTCTACAGTCAATACCCAATATTGTTAAAAACTTAGACTATAATCACCAGAATCTCTTTGCCACAAGATGAAACCACATCTATGACTGCTGGAATAACATACCTGCAGGATGGATGGCATCTCATATCCTTACTCAGTCCATTGTCTGAGGCCACAGAGCTAGAAGAGGCTACTCCTCTCACAGACTCGTTGGCTACCTGAACATTGCCTGTGGGGTTAACTGAGTGAACAGCAGTGGAAGTTCATAGACTTTACAGATAGGGTTGATTGCCATCATTGAATGTGATGGAACTTAGTGGAATGTTGCTGTTTTCTATCTTTTAATGTGGATGTTCCTGATAAAGAAGGAAACCCTAGAGTTAGCACAATTGGACAAATATCAGACAGTCACTATAGTTCTGGATGCCCTGGTTAATGACTGGTCTTATCTGCCTGTTTTTGCCAAACACTGGGCCCCTGCCAATGATCTGGTTGTTTTGTTTGGCCAGTGGCTGCAACAATTTGTGTCTAAATTTGCCCCCTTTGGAGTAAAAAACTCCAGGAATCTCTTGCCTCACAGATACTCCAAATATAATTAAAAGTAATATATGCTAAGGCCACAATACAAGGCATCACCAGGATGTTCTATTCTCTTTGGAGTTCTAGATATTACTAACAGTAACCAAGATACTTACTCTACTTCTCAAAATATATTATGCTGAGCTCTTGAAGAAAGCATTCAATGGAAATTCCCTCTCTATTGCAGGTTCTAAATTGCTGGTCTTCATAAAGAGGCCCATCAACCTCCTCATACCTATTAAGTTTCAAAATGGCAAATAAACCCTCGTTTGTATCATTTTTATCACAGACATCAGTTAGCCTAAATTTATGCTTACCAAGGATAACACATTCCTTACATCAATGCCATAGAGGTTCCTCAATTGCCTTTATCGGCCATAAAGGGGACATCTCTAAAGTTCAAATTTTCAACAACCATCTCACCATGTGGCCCTCCCAGTTAAGCGTCTGCTGCACTTCCTAGGGAGGTACTTCCTACTAAAAATATTAGCCATCACTAACGTGGATATTTGATGGGATGGAATTAAGTGGTCAATTGTAAATACATGGCCTAAAATTTCATCTGTTGTCTCAACGTCTTGGACCTCACAGGGCCCTAAGGACATTTGCTCTCCTCAGATATGTCACCTATCCAGTGGGAAAGTTTCTCTACCTGACTAGTTTTCATATTAGCTGAACTAACTGCATTCACCCAACTTCTATCTAATGGGTTTCATATTGTCTGCTAGATGAGGAGCACTCTAACCTCTTCTAAAAAGACTGCCTCCCATAGCCCCTGCTTGTTCACTTTGCTCCAGAATGCAATGACTTTGTGGCTCTGTGAGGTATGCAATGTCTCCTTCCTTCTCAGGTTATGAGTATATGTGACTAACAGACTGCTATTAATCTCATTTGTCCCATGTCAAGTGTTGTGTGTTTTCCATTTCACCCTATTCAGGGTGGGGATGCTTCCCTCAGCAGTGAGATAAATAGGAGGTGATCAGAACACTAAGTATATATGGCCATCTATTTTTAAAATATGAAAAAGCTTCTCTTTAAGAGGTGGCAAACATTATTGTTTTTCCTTCTTGAAATTTTATTTCCACTGTACTAACCACACATCTGAAAAGATACTAGGAACAATATGTGAGTTTAATAAAATAAATAAAGTCATTTTCTTCCTGATATTACAAAGCAAAAATATATACATGCATATTTAAACAGATATGCAAAGATATATATCAAAAATTATTTAAAATCTGTATTACATAACAAAGACAATATTTCAGAATAAGTTTACTAGGAAATGGCTACATATCAAAAAGAATAGAAATTTCACCTAGAGTTTTAAAAAGTCTGCAGGGAAATTTTTGTAAAATAAGGACAATATACACAACTTACTTTATCATATTTTAAGCATAGAAAACTACAAAATTTAAGACTTTGTAGAACAAATGCAGAAACAGATCAGTGGAAGTAAATAAAAAGACTGAAATAATAATGGCTGTCAAAGCAGTAATGGGGCAAGAGATTATAAAGAATATGGTGTTTAAAAACTGTTAGTCACTTGGAAAAGTAATTTAGACCTGTTACATCTTACAGCAAAATAAATTCTGCATATGCTAAATATGTGTAAGACAATACTAGTTCTAGAATAAAATATAGATTAATACGTATATCAATCTATATTTAGATTAGGACTAAATCTACTAGTCCTAAATCTAATAGTCCTAATATGCCACATAAGGACTTTCTTGAGCCCTGTACAAAATAAAGAAAGAAAAAACATTAATAACTTTTACAAAATAAAAATTAAGAAAAGTTCTTCATGGGAAAATGTCCTAAAATTTAAATGAAATATAAACTAAACATGATATCTAAGAGGTGGTGAAAATATTTTGTAATCTGTATAAAAACAAATTAGTATGAAAATAGGTACATATCTCAACTGAAGAAAATGGACTATGGAAATAAATATCTTGGAAAGTATCAGTGGCATACAAGCATAGCAAGAAATCATCAGATTTATTATCAAAAAACTTAAAAAAGAAAGAACTTAAGATGGCCAGAATAAAATAATAAATATAATTATTTTGAATTCTTCAAAAGCTTGATTCATTTCAAGAATATAGCTAACTAACTCTATGTGTTTCTTAACCTCACAAAACACTTTATTTTATATATGTGAAGTTTGACTTGCATAAAGGAAACATTCATTCTTTTCCTTTAATTGCAAACCAGGATAATTATTATAATGTGTTGATGAGGATTGGAACTCAGAGAAAGCTTGAGTTCCAATCCTCATCAACACCTTAATAGTAGCCTTGTGATGACAAATTTAAATTGTGACTGAATTCTTGACACACAGAAGCTGTAAGAAAATATGTATTTGTAACTTCAAGCTGTTAAATTTGTAGTGATTTGTTATGCAGCAATGGATGACTAGTATAATGGATCAACTCACTTAAATTTGGGAACTTCAGGTAACTCCCAAGAGCATTCATTTAATCTAGAAAGTTGAGGGCTTTACAGAAGAGAAGAATATGTGCCAGGACTTAGGGATTATTCTGTGAAAGAGAAATAGCATTAACAAAGTGACAACATGGAAAGAAAGTGAGTATGAATCAGTTTGTGAGAAATTAAGCCACTGTATAACTATACACGTAGAAAAGGTATATACGTGTGTGTATATATATACACACACACACACACACACACACATATTAATCTGTTTTTTCTCATCTAATTTAATGTTCCAACAGTCATATGAAGTAAGCTCTACATTTTTTTCTTTAGTTCCTGATCAAGGTGGATAAGTACTTTGACCACTGATTGACACAGCAGAACAAGGATTTGGGGTCAAGCTGTGCTACCCAAGGTGCTTTTACTTTTTAGTTTTTCTAACCAACACACAATACTGTCTCACTATGTGTAGTAGGGCATACATAGAAATATGTCAAAATTTGATCAGATCATTTCCACAAAGACTTTAATGCTAGATTGAGGAATTTCTACTCTATTCCACAAGGAAATAAGAGCCATTGGGGTATATAACCACAAAAATAGAATTTAATAAAAGTGATATTTTGAGAAATATTACAAAATGTCCTGAGTCCAAATACATTAATCTGATTTAAAATATCTGTTGAATAAGGTTGCTAATGCCAATCCAGATTCAATAGGAGTAATGAGAAAACATCATTTATAGAATCATGTATATTTTCTCAAACAGATGTGTATTGCTTTGAGATATAATTAACTGGCATAAAAATTGACTTAGGAAACCAGAGATACACATTCTATTTCCAGCATTTCTACTAGCTTGCCTTGTGACTCTGTGTAAAATACTTTTAAGATTTTTAAACTTTTTTTTATTTGTAAATTGATACTTTCTCATCCTGTAATGTCTGGTCTTATAGTTTTTCTTTAAGGTTGATTTATTTTCTATGAAATACTGGATCATCCATTACAATGAGAATAATGCAGCATTTTGCTAAAGAAAATACAGCTGAAAAAACAAGAGCATTAATCTTAAACATAATCTAAGTTTTCTTGCAAAGAATGTGTATGAAGCTCCAGGTCAGAGGTCTAATATGTAACAAATTACTGACTGGCAATAGGTCAAAAGTTGGCTGTTTTCCTGTTATGCTTAAGAATACATAAACATTGTCATTGCTCAATTATAGACATGAACAGACCAGATAGATGGTTCCCTGATCCACTCTGCTCTGCTAAGAGCTAGAATTACTCTCCCGATCTTCACAAAATCATTCTGATCATTTCTCTTGCATGTGCGATCTAGTAACCACAATTTCCTACCATTTCTCCTCCACTGTAAAGTGTTTTCAAACTATTGAATATTTGTTCAAAACCCAGCACAGAATCACCTAAAAGCCGTTACCAGGAATGAAGATACGTTGATTTGAAACTACGAAGATAATCATGCATAAGTGTACACTAAGATGGAAGTAATATATTGCTGAGAATTCTTCAGAGCCCCAGCTGTCTCAAAGCTCATTTGTATCAGTAATCTTCTCCCTTTACATGTAAAATTGCTATGCTGACACCTTCTCAGAAAACAAATACTAGTTAATAGTTTGGATTAACTCTTATGAAACTGCCATTTTCAACTGAATATTTCAGTTGTTCCCGAACATGTCTCCAGTAAAAACTAGGACTTACTTTAACCGATAGAAATAGAGTAATTCAGAAAAAAATGCTTATATTATACATTTAACTTTGAGAAATACTTGGGAAAAATGGAAATCTATAATTTACAAACTTGTATAATCATAAAATTATTACTACATTAGATTTTCTCCCATTTCAAGGGGATAGATGGAGGCTAATATTACTGTCATTCTGTGTATTCAAGGTGACCTATTTTTACTGCTTTTTGGCTTTTCAGAAAAAATGGTACAAATAGATATAATAATATTTATTTACTCTTTGAATTTTTCCAGCAGAAGTCATTTTAAATAATTTACTTCTTTCACCATCTTTAAATTTAATTTCACAATTACACAAATTAAAGAAAGAGAACCAAATTGTATCTCAGGAAGAGAAAAACATATTCGTGCCCATTGTCTTAATTTTCTATCGTTAAATGATGTAAGTCAGTTGACTACTAAATAATGCTTTGTAGAGTCACATTTGAGGCAATTTCTGTTATATTCTTCTGTTCACAGTGATAATTCTGTGTTTTACTTAATTTAGTTTGTTTACAATTAAAAACACAAATCTTCTATTCTTTATTACTTATGTTTTGTTCTTGGATTCCCCCTCTTAAGTAATTGTGTAATCAGTGATCAAGTGTACCTGGCTTTTAGAACAGTTTGATGTCTATAGGGTGTTTGTACTGCCTCATTTGGTGGGCTAGTCTAATTGAAGATAATAGGGGTAGTATTAGTGAAGGCAGCTCTGGAACAATGCTTTCAATTTATTTTAAGGACCACAACTCTCGCTATTATACATAATCTTCCACCCATTGGAGGAAAGTACATACTACATTTAAAAGCACAGAATGGGATCTATTTGTATCTGAACAATGTTTTCATGAAACGTTTGCAATCCAGATGTGTTGAGAAGCTTACGTTTTTTCACTTTGACCATGTTAAAAGTACAATTTCCTTGTAATGTTATGTAGATCCTTCAGACTGAGGATGCTGCAAACCACGATAATTTTCAAAGTAGAAGATAGGGTTACTCTTTGCAGTTGAAAAATCCTTTAGCTGACCTTTACCTGTAGATGTAAATTTACATGTAACTAAATTTTTGCTGCTACATTTTATAACCACTTATTTGTGATGAGTCTGAAATCTATTTTATTAAATGACTGACATTATTTTTAAAGTTTAAAAAGTGAGAAAAAAGAGAAAAGGAAACGAAAGGAAATTTAAAAAAAAAAAAAAACAATAGTTTGCATGCCAAACTTATCTCACTTTCCAACATTTGGGACAGGTGCTCCAAACAATGGATTATAAATGCTGGTTTACCTTTGCTTTGTTTTCAGAAAGTAAGCAACTACCTATTTACTCTTAATGTGGAAATTCTTATAGCAGTCTTAGTAGAATCTTCAACTGATATCCCCACTCAATGTTTATCACCACTGGCTTTCCCTGTGAGACCTGGTTAGCAGTATCAGTGCTAGAAATAAACTAAATACAGATAAACAATAAGGAAACAAAATATTTATCTAATATCCCAAGGTTTTGTTCCCAGTAACATTATAAGCAGATAATATTATCTTTAAAAAGTTTCAATATAGGCCGGGCGTGGTGGCTCACGCTTGCAATCCCGGCACTTTGGGAGGCCAACATGGTGAAACCCCGTCTCTACTAAAAATACAAAAACTAGCTGGGTGTGGTGGTGCGTGCCTGTAGTCCCAGCTACTCCAGAGGCTGAGGCAGAAGAATCGCTTGAACCCGGGAGGTGGAGGTTGCAGTGAGCCGAGATCGCACCACTGCACTCCAGCCTGGCGACAGAGTGAGACTCTGTCTCAATAAATAAATAAATAAATACATAAATAAATAAAGTTTCAATTGAAAATCTCTTCAAAGCAGTGAAAGCCAACATATTTATATTTATATTTATTTATTTTGATGTATTATTCTCAAAGCATTTGTATTTTAAATAAAAAATTATTCTCAGAAAAACCTTTCCTGCCCCCAAAACAAATTCTTTAATCTGAATTTTTTAGTTTATTTTAGTAATCAAATTAAAAAATCAAGAAAACCAGCAAGACGTTTAGATCTATTTTCTGATATTGCACCACATTCTATTAAGTGGCACTAATTGCTTTGAGAATGGAAATTAATTGAGAAGCCCTCACTATCTTTGCATAGTTGCTTGAACTCACACATTATCTTCACAGTTCATTCTGAGTGAGCAGTTTTTTTACACTGTCTTCATGTACCGTGACCTAATATGAACAAACGCATGTGCAATTTGCCAGTGCCTCACCACTAAAACTCTGTGATTCAATGTAGCCAAAATACATAAAAATGACAATATAGTTATTTCCCAATTATCCCACAGTGGCAGAGTAACCAGAGTTTCAATGTAAAGTATAATTGATTCCTAATTACTGTACTTTCACAGAAAGGCCACAGTCCATAACTTCATTAAATAGTGAAAACACAAATAACTATTCACAAGGAAAGAATTAGCATTTACTATATGTTTATTTACTTTCTAATCTGTACATGTTTTAGGCTTTGGTCTGAAATAATGTGTCATTTGAATTTTCTTCATGGAAAAGAAAATTTCTCCAGTGATGTTCCTTTAGAAGGGGGAAATAAAATATCGGCTATTTGATATTTGATGCACTCTACAAGGGCTTGGCCCAATTATTGTTCATTTACAAAAGTGGGATATATAAGAGCAAGTATCCATCTGTGAACTGAGGGCAGATTCACTGTTATATATATTAAGACTTGTTAGGGCTCATGGACAATGAGAGAGAAGAAATGATAATGTGATAGCACATGGGGGAATAAGATCTATCTACTGCCTAATATGGGAAATGAAGAGTATAGTTTCTAATCATGAATACTGCTTAAGCAATTTTTGTTCTGAACAGGTCCAGGAGGTAAAGGGAGGATCAACCCACCTTTGTGTATTATGAAGATATGAGCAAACAAACTAGAACACACACACAAAGAATAAATTGAGATCTGCTATTTAATACTTACATGAAGGCACAGAATGTTGACAAGAGTGCTGGAGCTGCTTTTCCTACATTCACATTGTTCTGTTAGAGAGCTTTGTAAAGATGTTTTTGGTTACCTATAACTTGGCAAGAAGGTTCAGACAGCCTACAAAGTCCAAATATATAATGGATTGCAATATAAATTAAAATATTCACTTTATGAACAATTCAAATGATAGTAATTTAAAAATATGCATTGGAAACCACCAGTATTTTAACTAAGGGCTGTCATAATTTTGGTGTACTTCTTTAAATAAACTTCTCTCACCATATTTGATAAATGTTTCATTGATTAGAAAGATTATAGTCATACAGTGGTCATTTTTTTAGTTTCAGCTCACATAAAATCATAAAAGAAAATACAAAACTCTAGCATCTGTCTGCTCACATAAAACTGTGGAAGAAAATACAACAGTCCAGCATCTGTCTGTTATACTGAATCAAATAAATACCAGGCAGGACACAGGCTCATCTCCTAGTCCCATGCTTTTTCCTTGGCATGATAATTTAGGAAAAAGCATTTTAAAAAGCATGCAGCAGAAATCCTTGGTGTCCTTCCCAATTTCCTTTGCAGATTGATGCACTTAACCCTCAGTTTCTAGGTGTTTTAGTTAATAAAAACTAAAGCCAATCCTCTTTTCTGGAGAATTCCCCATGATCCCATCACACAGGAGTTTATGCCTCCCCTTTCTGCCCATTTAGAGCTTAGCCAATGACTGACTTTTTTAGTGGTACAAAATGCCAGACATGTGCCTGGCACAATGGTGTGCACCTGTAGTCCCAGCTACTCGGGTGAATCACTTGATCCCAGGAGCTCAAGGGCAGCCTGGGCAATGTAAAATGAGACCCCCACTTCAAAAAACAAATGCCAAATCCCTTGTCACAGGTGTGACTGATAATTTGGTCTAACGGTGCTTCAGAATAAAGCTAGTTTCCAGCTATGCTTTCATTATCCCTGAGCTTCCCTGACCTATCCTAGGTCCCTTGTTCTCCTAATCTAAGTGTACTTCCCCAATAAATGGCATGCATAAGAATCCCCATCTCAGTCACTTCTTCTACAGAACCTCACTTAAAATAGTTGGTAAGGAGTGGTCCCTCGGGAGCAGTAAGAGTGACATTCTGGAAATGAGTCCTTTACTGTTTGTTTGACTTGGAATATTATATCACTATGACAAGTGAGGGATTGATGGATCCCATCATGCTACAGCTGGGGAGAAGTGGGATGGTATGTGAGTGAAACAGGACACACTGTCTGGTACAATGTCTCCAGTGTTTGAAATGTGTTATGGAAATTTAAAAAATAAGAACTGTGGAAGTGGATGCTTGTTGCTGAGCATCCATATATTGGAGAAAATAACAGGCTCTATTAACCAAAGCCTTAAAGCAAAGGGAGAGTCAGGAGTCTTTCTTGCCAGCATTTAAAGAAAGCCTCACCTCCTGAAGTCCTAGGGCAGAACCATTAAATTTTAAGCCCAGCACATTATCTGTAAGAGTGGCATAACTTCAGAAAGGCCTGAATTCTTAGCTTAAGCAAATCTTCTATGTCAGACTAGGGACTGATATGGAAGTAATAAGCCACTGAAATTTTGAAAGGGGTGTCTGGACAGGTGTACCTGAGAATCTTGAAGCTTGAGGTTCTGTGGAACTCTCAAGGTCAACTCCTTGAAAGATATACTCCCCTCCCAGTTTCTTGCTTAAAACAACATAGGAAATTCAAATTAGGGAGGAACAGACAAAATAATACTTGCTTTCCTCAAGATGTGCCTACAAATGCCCTTTGGAGCCACAGACTCTTAATTAAAGGCAAATCTTAAGTCTGACCCAACCAGAAAGTAGTGTACCTAATTAGGATGGACCAGTTTTGTCTATGAAAGGAGCTACAAGCAGGAACCAGAGAAGCGGGACTGGAAGGAATCATGAGAGGTGCCAACAGGTTGGGCAGAATATAAACCTGGCTGGGGAGGTTTACCAACATTGGAGTACTCTCTGTTGACAAAGAATTTAATATCCTCACAAAGGATCTCTTGAATTAATGGAAAAAGTATTTATATTCATTAAGTAAAGTAGGGATGGCAGAGCTGCCTTTGTAATCTATTGAGAAGTAAATAAAAAGAATCAGAAAAGTAGCATGCTGGAATAAATTTCCTAAAGAAGACCAGAAAATCCATATGTTAACTACCTTGCTTGGGTGGTCCCAGAGGTTAGTCCAATAAAGAGTGTATTGGTGAGGAAAACAAGCATTTTTTTTTAACTTTTAGGTTCAGGGGTACTAGTGCAGGTTTATAACACAGGTAAATTGAATGTCACAGGGGTTTGATGTACAGATTATTTTGTCACCCATGTAATCAGCGTAGTACCTGGCAGGAAGCTTTCTAATCCTCTCCCTCCTTTCACCCTCTACCCTCAAGTAGGCCCTGGTGTTTGTTGTTTGTTCCTTTCTTTGTGTCCATGTGTTCTTAACGTTTAGCCTCCACTTTTAAGTGAGAACATGTAGTATTTGGTTTTCTGTTCCTGCATTAGTTTGCTTAGGATAGTGGCCTCCTACTGCATCCATGTTGCTGCAAAAGACATGATCTCATTCTCTTTTGTGGCTGTGTTGTATTCCATGGTGTATATGTACCACATTTTCCTTAGAATGGGTATTATTGAAAGCTCAGTCTTAGCTTCTCTAAAGTTCATGGCTAACGGCAGAACACATGGTATATGAGTTGACTCTGAGAGATAGAGATCCAAAGCACCATCCTGGTCTCCCATTGGGATACAGACGTAGAGGGGTCAAATAGTAAATGAATATAGCCAAAGTTCATGTCATAGTGTGTCCACTTGATCCACAAGCCTAACTAGTAAACATTTCTCAGTTTCCTGAACGTCCTATTGAATCTGTCATACGTAGCTGTTAAGAGAAACCTCATGTTGTTGCTTTTGGTCATAATATAGTCCCAAGGGACCTGGGCCATCTGGAGATTCTGCAAAGCATCATACTTGCTCACTATATTAATATTATCTTAATCAGACCTATGAGCAATAGATAGCAAGCACTTGTGTTGTATCGTAAAACACATGTGCTAAAAAATGTGATAAATTAAGCACTATAAAGATTCAGTGATGAAGTTTTCAGGAGAAGATTAACATTTGGTATGGTTTTTGGCATATTCCACATGTGATAATGCTGCTACAATAGATTTTAGGTGAACAACTGCTAGCTTTTAGTGGGCCCCAGAGCAAAAATGACTTGGCATCAGGTCTAGGCTGAGGACAGACAGCCATATCATTTAGAATATAAGAACTGATAGGTCCGATCATACTGGAGGTTATCTAGGGTAGCAAAAGAGACTTCCTTTTTCTTTGGAAAGCTGCAATGGTAGAGTTGCTTTATAGATCTTTAGGGTTCTAGGGCAAGGCAATGCCACCTCTAGTAGAGAACTATCCTTTCTACTATATTCAGCAGTTGCTGGCATGCTAGTGGGCAAACTGAACATCTGGCCACTGGATATCAAGAGATCATGCATCTAACACTGCCTGTGATAAGCCAGATATTGTCACAACCATCAAGTCATATAACTACTCACCATAGAAATATGTTTGTGAACCAAGAACTGTGGGTAGATCCATGAAGACAAAATTATGATCTCATTTCACTTAATTTCTGCTGCTAAATGTAAAAGATCTGAAGTGTCCAGGGCCAATAGATTTTATTCATTTCTTCTAGGTTACAGTTACTAGTATTTAAGAAAAAAATCTATTAATTTAACATTTTACACAGGCTTGTTACTTTGAAATCTACACACACACACACACACACACACACACACTATACATATACTGAATGGATGGTAAATTTACATGTCCCAGAAGATCTATTTTTTTCTTATACTTATTTGAGGGTTAGAGTAGATAATTCTCTGTATAGATTAAATTTCCTTTCAAATGTTTTAAAGAATATAATGCAATATGTTAAGATTCAGTATTACTATGAGAAATTTGAATCTGATCTGATTGCCCTTTCCTTAAAAATGTAGACTACATTTTTCTTTCTGGAAATTTCACTAGAAAGACTACTTTCTCAGTATGACATTGACCTTTTAAATATGAAGACTAATATGCAATTTTATTTTTTCAATTTATTTTTCTCTATTATTTCTTCAGTTATATCTTCTCTTCACTATCTCTCTCTATGCTTCTTTACCTTAATTAGATTAATGTATCCTCTTGCATTCATGTGTCATAACCTTTCTGTTGTATTTACCATCATTATCATTTTTCGTCTGTTATGAAAGATTTCTTCATGTTTAATATTTTCATTATCTGCTTAATCTTTTGTCTGACATATTCTATTATTCAGTTTATTCATTTAATTGTTTAAATGAGTTTTATCATTTCTTAATTTCTAAGAACTCTTTTTATTCTCTGGTTGCTCTTTCATAACAGCTGGTTATTTTCTTAGAGATACAATGTCTTCTTCCATTTCTCAAGGGATATTAATTTGAATTTTTAATGTCCTCTTTTACTGCCTGAAATAAGTCTGTTTCTTTCTGGGTCATTTGTTCTGTGTGCTCATTTTGGTCCATCTATTTCATACTCATAGTTGCTCTCAAATTTCTGATGATTCTTAGTTCATGCTTTTGAATGAAAGACTAGGTTAATTATGTCGTGTAAATTACCTTTCGGTTTCACAAAATGGTCTCTGCCTTGAATGAAACAACTGACAACTCACTCCAAGTTGCAGAGATTTGTCAACAGGTAGACATCTCTAAAGGGCACCCTGATAGTGAAAGTTAGGCATACTGGGAACTCTTATAATCACTTTAGAAGAGTTTTATTCTGAAATTGGATTAATGTAGTGAATGTTACATCTGGGCTGAGCTGTCTTCTTTTTTGTTTGTTTTTTGAGTATCTCATTTTTATATGGAAGTACTTCAAGCTTAAATATTCCTTCCATTTAGTGTTTTAAACTTTAAACTCACATAAATACATGTCTTAGGCAGGCTGCTGTCAGCAGTTGTGTACACTGGAAAGGTTAGAGGATGTGATTGCCCCAGGTATTTGAACTGCATTTCTCTGAATCCTGAGATGATTATCCTATGGCCATTTTGTACTTTTAAAATATTTTTAGTTTGATTCTGAAGCTCTCAGCTTTCTTTGAAAGGAACTTAGCTCTGGTGTTTAGGTTACGATTCTCTCTTATATTTCTGTTATCTCAAGAAATCTAGTCCTCTTTTATTCTTAGCTTAGATAATTTTTTCCACATTTAATCCCCTAATAACAACTTTATATTTTTTCTAGAAGTGCCTTGTGTTCACCGTTTTTATTCTGTTTTCTGACTATTTTTCACATTTGTTGAGTCCAGCACCTTGAACTAGAATGCTTATGGTTTTCTTGTTTATTATAATTTTAAGGGGCTCCATATCTGCCTTTGAATAAACTGAATAAGCACACTTAACAATTACAGAGTATAAAGATCTATGCTTTAAATTGCAGATAAAATACTAGTAATAACATTGAAATTACTCCAGTAAATTTAAGAGTGTCTATAAGAATAAACATTAAGATAAGTATTTTAAGATCGAAAAATATTTATAAGATAAATTGGAAAAAATACATTTTTCTAGCTATAAATGATTGAAAACCTCTTTATCTAGTTCTAGAAACTTGACTACTTAAGGATTTTGCTTCAATTATTAAGGAATAGGAGAAGTTGTTAGATATTATTAGTGATTTTCCTTTTTAAAAACATCTGAATGTTTTACATTAAATAATATAATAAGATTATACAGTGAGCTATTAAAGAAAAAGGTATGAATTTCCAAGTATTTCTCTCTCTCAATCAGGGTTTGTTACTATAAAATCATATCAAAATCAGAAACATACCAAATTGTAAACTGCGATAAAGTGATAACTCCCCTCCCCACAACTTAAATTTGTCTTATTTCTCAACATATTTTCATTATTCTTAATTAACTGTTACATAACTAATGCTATAAATTTGAGTTTATAATATATAGATGTGTGTATTCTAAGATGATACAATTTTATGTTTTTTGTTTTTATTTTATTTTGAAATATTCTGTTAGCTATTCAAGAAATTAGTAATTTTTAAACATTGGCTTTTCCTGTGAAAGTCAAAATTATGAAATCTTTTACTACTAATATGATAGAAAAATAATGCATAGAATTTTGAGAACTGATTTTTATGTTTATCACCAACTTTTTAATAGCTCATATGTTGAGAAATTAAAACTGCCTTCTAAAATAACCAGTTAAAATACTCTTCTGACTAAAAGCATACTATTTATTTTTGCAATTGAAGGATTAAGTATACACATCTCAGAATTATCTTCATTAAGCTGGCTTATGGAGGTTGAATTTCTCATGAGTTCATAAAATTTCTTGTCATACTGAATTTGGGAAATGCTTTATAAAATAGGAAATAAGTGTATATGCGTATGTGTATGTATCTGTATATGTATGTGTGTATGTATGTATACATATATACATATACAGATATATTTTTTCAGATGTCATCACGAGTGTATTTATTAAAAACCCTTTCATTTAACATTCTAGGAGGTAGAATAAGATGTTAAGCATGTGTTGACATACTTTAATTTCTACAGGGTTCTACTGTGCAACTTAATTATTATTCTTTTTCCTTGTCAAGCAATTAAATGTCAAATGGCAGGGAATTTGTTCTTCAATAATGATCTATTGAATTATTTCACTACAAACATTTTAATTGAGTTCCAATTTACTATGCTTGTTTTAAGATATGAAGAAGAAATAAAGCTTCTTTGTTTTCTCAACAGGTTTCATCTTTCTCATAAAGTCCATTGGGAATAAATAAAGGTGGAATATAAATTTTAACTTACCAGTTTGATATATTTTCTTTCTTTTTGGTTTAAGGTATATTCCAGGCAACTCAGTCCCTTTCAGGTAACTCAGTCTCTTTCAGGTAAATGCTAACCTTCAACTGCTCTTTCTGAAAGTGTAATCTCTATTTATGGGCGACAGGAGGTTTGCATGACATGGTGCTTGCGGGTACTTGAGTTCTCAGCCATTTGTCAAAGATTTTATGTTACTCTCCTTTTCCATTGGTCTTTATGCTGAATTCCCTTATATTTTTTCTTACATCATCTGTATTATGAAATAGTTGATGTTTCTACTCTTTCCTCTGGCACAGGTATGCACATCACAACTTTATTATGAAGATACTTTGCCTACTCTGGCCCTAGCAACAAAACTGTTAACTTTTCTAAACTATCATGGAAGAATGGGAACTTTTGGATACTTATGAAGCCAAGGGAGGCTCATGAGGGCAAAGTCGGGCTTTCTTAATGCCCAAACATGGACAGCTGGGGATTGCACCATAGCCATGCAGAGCCAGCCCCTGCTGATTGACTTCTGAGCTTCACCCTCATTAGTTTAGCAACCACTACTTCTCCCTTCTTGTATTGTGACCTCCATGCCTGAAGAGTCTTCTCTGATATTCGCAAACTAAGAATATGGTGGCACTTTGGGCTTTTCCCTTATCCTAATGACCCATTCTGGGTTAATTCTACAATTATGTGGGAAATCGGAACACATAAGCCTGACCATTTGTTTCTCTGATGTCTTATTCTCTCTTCTCTTTTCTACACTAGGATGAAATGTGTGAACTATATTTATTTCTAGAGTGTTAGTAATAAATAGCTTTATCTCACATATTGCTACGAAAAGAATTCCTGAATAATTTGATAATATGAATATATTTCTATGAAGAATTATGTAAGACCTTCATAAATACCTTATAATTACAAAATTTTCCAAGCCTATTTAACTTATTTTGTAAGTCTTCCAAATAATTTATATTCTTTTTATTAGCAGAATACTTTTCTTGTCTGGGCATGGTGGCTAATGTCTGTAATCCTGGCACTTTGGGAGGCTGAAGTGAGTGGATCGTTTGAGGCCAGGAGTTCGAGACCAGCCTGGCCAACATGGCAAAACGCTGTCTCTACTAAAAATACAAAAATTAGCTGGGAATGGTGGCATGACCCTGTAATCCCAGCTACTAGGGAGGCTGAGGCACAAGAATCGCTTGAGCCTGGAGGTAGAGGCTGCAGTGAGCTGAGATTGAGCCACTGCTCTCCAGCCTGGGTGAGAGAGCAAGACTCTGTTTCAAAAAACAATAGAAGGAATAATTTTCTTATGTTACTTCTTTTTGATTCCAATTCTAATATTTGTAGTATTAGGGTTTTTCAGAGAAATTGAACCACTAGAATGCAGATAGAGAGAGAAAGATTTATTTTAAGAAATTGGCTCACACCATTGTAGGGGGACAGTGAGTGTGAAAGTTGTAGAATAGGTTGATAGGCTGGAAATTTGGTTAGGAGTTGGTGCTTGTCTTGAGCAATCTGGAGATAGAATCTCTTTTTTAGGAAACCTGTTTTGGCTTTTAAGGGCTTTACCCAGTTTAATCAAGCCCACCCATATTATTGAAGGTACTCTCCTTTACTTAAAGTCAATTAATTGTAGATGTTCACTACATGTGGAAAATACATGTGGTTTGCATCAACACCTAGATTAGTGTTTACTTACATAACCTAACGAAGTTGACACATAAGAATAAAAATTACAGCCACTGAATATAATAAAACTATGCAATTTTAAGTACCTATTTCACCTGTCATAAACTTACAATAGCAATGTACTATGTAATATATTCTGTGCTTCCTTTAAATTTCTTTGAAACAAAATATATATGTTTTTCTCTAATATCAATTGCATTCATTAATATTTACATAAAAACTGGTAAAATAAAAATAAATGATAAAGTATGTCATTAACAATGTAATTTATTCTATGTACCACAATTATTTGATCCTTACCTGTGCTACTTAGGAACAATACTGAGAAAATAATTATTATCAGTATGAGCATATAGAAATATAATCTCTCATTTGAAAATAATTTTGGGGTTTGAGACAAATATTCTTAAAGATTCAATTGTATACATTATGGGAGCTCAAAAAACACAGACAAATATGCTTAAACTATTCTGTTCAATTTATGTTTTATTTTAGTCTATATGTGATGGCAATTGTATCTCATACTGAGTCACTAAATCTAAGGTACATTTAGTAATCTCATAGGAATGATGATATGATTTCCCAAAATACTAGGACATATGAATCTAATATTTCTTCTGAAAATAGGACCAATTATTTAAATCAAAATTGTCCTAAAATTTAGGACATACAGTAGCTAACAGTCAAGAGGGGAAAATGAGCATGTGATTTACATATGTGGTTGACTATACTGATTAAATATATATTGACTATATATTGATTTTCATGATTTTATCTCTGTTATAGTTGTTCTTAAAAACTGAGCAGATATGTACAAAAGAGTGTTGTCAATAAAAAACAAAGAATACTGAAATGTAAGATATATCACCAAAAATAGAACAGAACAATATAAAACCCCAAAACATAATTACGACTAAATAGGTATATTGCTTTTTTTATCTTCTGAAAATAATAAAAGGATCAATTTGTACTGCTCTAATTGTAGTAACTATATATAGAAAATATAAAGTGAAGCTTGAACACAAAAGGGGAGGTATAAAAAGAAATGAGAATGTTAAGACTATGGAAACAAAGAAAAGGATAAGTTCAAATATTCATGTCACATAATTGATTAACTACAAGATGGGAGTCTGCACATGGAGATTGATTGTAAATCAAGTTACAACCAACAATCTATTTTAGTATGATTGAAAAGACATCCTGGTGAATGAGTTGATAATGGACAACGTTCTCGGTTGCTGGTGAGAATAGGCCACATTTGCAGTGTAGTAAGCTCAATTCAACGTATAAAGAAAGGAAGGCACAGATTTATCCCCAGGCAGAAAAGCAACAGTCTGGTTGACCATATGCCCATGCAAATAGTTTAGTATGTGCAAAAGGAATTTAAGTTTTATTAGGGGAGTAACTATACCTAATTGGACAATTGTCATCAGCTACCAAAAGAGTGTGTTTACATGGAAGGAGGTAAAATGGAACATCATATTATAATGCACTATATTATTTATTTTGTTTACTGGCCACTTATGCAACTAGAAATAAAATTTCATAAGTAAAGATACTTCTTCTTTGCCTTTTTTGATTACTATATTTGCAGCTCCTATAACAATAGCTGGCACAGCATAGGTCCATAAGAAATACTGACTGAATGAGTGAATCCATAAAACATAAAGAAATTTCAATCAACAAAATTTAACTCATAGATATCAGTAAAAACAATATAAGTAATAAACAATGAGTAATGAATGATAACATTGTTTGTTTTTCTTTAAAATATTTTTCTTTTGTGCTCATGAGCATAAGATCTAAAGATATTTTGATTTAAAAATATTACCTTGGGAGGCCAAGGCGGGTGGGTCACAAGGTCAGGAGATCGAGACCATCCTGGCTAACATGGTGAAACCCCGTCTCTACTAAAAGTACAAAAAATTAGCCGGGCGTGGTGGCAGGCGCCTGTAGTCCCAGCTACTCGGGAGGCTGAGGCAGGAGAATGGCATGAACCCGGGACGGGGAGCTTGCAGTGAGCCAAAATTGCGCCACGGCACTCCAGCCTGGGCGACAGAGCAAGACTCTGTCTCACACACACACACAGAAAATTACCATTTTGCCCTTAGATGTATTTTAATATTAATACAGTATAGAGGATGTTGATGTACCCTGCAGACAGAGTGTGAATAGACTGAAATTTTACTCCTAGAATTGAAGTAAACTATTTAAAAACTACAAATTTCTATTCATATTTTGCTTAAAAATCATCTGTATATTCTTTTCTATTTACCAGGAATATCAAATTAAAATGATACTTGGCATAATCCCAGTCAGTGATTTCTGGAAGAGCTAATTTAGTTTTCTCTCCTGACCTAAATAGTTTCTAGGTAATATATAAGTTAGTTTAGCTTGTCACCAGGATGTAATATTGAGGTTCTTGTAAATACAAAAGAGTAATTGTTATTTTAATCCTGACTACTTTTTTTCTCAGCACTGGAAATTTACTGCCATAGTAGCTCTTTATATATAATTAGAGATATAAGCAATAATTATATTGTCACACATACATTTGTAACCAGAAAAAGAACAGAGTTTTAAGTTAGTTATGCAAAATAGTATTTTTACATTTTTCTATTTTTTTAAAATTTTGTCAAATATATTAGCAGTTATATAATAAACATAACTGGTTAAGTTTCTAACATGATGCGACAGATAAGGACATGAGAAATGCCTTTAAGTTTTGCTCAAATTTATTTTTAAAAAATTAACTGATGAAATAGGAATATACACAAATAGTTAAAATCATTATAAAACAAATAATGATTTTAGCCTATTGAAATAAAACCTAAAAATAAATGCCTGATACATTGTTTGGTGTAAGAATTCACATATAGAATTTATTTATGGTACTTTGACTTTGTCTACCTAAAAACCTCCAAATGATTTCAAAGTCAAAGAAAAATGGTAATCAGGTTGCAAGAAAAAGGAGAGAAGTAGCAGAATATTTGTGCATTTTAAGAAGAGTTCCTAGGAATTCTACTTCTAGCCATAATGGAATAATAGAAATCTGATTTACCCTCTTGTCTTTAAAAAATCAGAAAACTGAACAAAATTCATGAAATAAGTTGTCAACCACTGAATTTGAGCTAATCCAAGATGCTAATGTGTGAGAAAAGGGAAACAAATCAGCTGAGCCCTCAGATTTCTTCAGATTATAGAGTGGAGCCACAATCAGAGAGGAACAATTCAAACAGAGGCTGGCAGGCTGGCTATGTTGAAGAGACAAGGTTCAGTTTTTTATTTGTTTGTTTGTTTTTGTTTGTTTTGTTTTGTTTTTAGATGGAGTTTCGCTCTTGTTGCCCAGGCTAGAGTGCAGTGGCGCAATCTCTGCTCACTGCAACCTCCGCCTCCCGGATTCAAGTGATTCTCCTGCTTCGACCTCGCAAGTAGCTGGGATTACAGGCATGTGCCACAACGCTCGGCTAATTTTATATTTTTAGTAGTGACGGGGTTTCACCATGTTGGTCAGGCTGGTCTTGAACTGCTGACCTCAGGTGATCTGCCCACCTCAGCCTCCCAAAGTGCTGGGATTACAGGCTTGAGCCACCACGTCCAGCCAAAGTTCAGTTTTTGTGTAGGAGAAGGTGATAGGATTTGTAGGACAAAATACTGGAGAAAAAATACTGCTAGAGTTCTGTGGAGAGATTGCCTCAAGTGTTAGCTGAAGAACAAAAGATTAGTGAATTTGAAGAATTTGTGGTAGAAACTTCCAAATGAAACACAGTGTGGGGGGAAAACAACAAAACAGAACAAAACAAAACCAGACTCTGCAAAGTGAATAGAGCACCAATAAGCTTTTGGGGCAGTATCAAATGAAATACCATGGATAAAATTGGAGTACCATAAAGAGAAGAGAAAGAAATAGGGCACAAATACTATAAAATATGAAAGAAAAATGTTAAATTAGATCATGAAAATTTTAAAAATTTCCTCTGCAAAGAACACTCATGGGAATAAAAAGACAAGCCACAGACTGAAAGAAAATACTTGAAAACCTTCTATATGACAAATAACTTATATCCAATAAAAGTAAAGGGAAGAAATTAAGAATGTATTGAAAACTTAGGGAGCTAATTAGGCAAGGTGGCTGCCTAATATTATGTGCGTAATAGTTGTACTGAGTTTTTACAAGGCTCTGTTCCGGACTAAACCATTCCTCCTTTTATACAACTCAGTAAGGCCCTCTCTTTTCCCCTCCTTCTTTAGGAAAGATCCTTTCATTTCTGACACAGCTGGTTATAAGCTCTGTATGGATGGACACTACTGTACTGGACACTGCCAAATGTCACTGCAAAGCTGGCCCTGTCTCCTCTCCATGTGCTGGACCTGGAGACAATAGCCCTTGATTAGTCCCTCCTTCATGCATCAAAGATTTCCAACAAACACTTAAGGAAATAAATGAAGACAAATCAAATGAGAACTAACAGAGGCTATTTATTCAGAAGTTGCTGTACAAAGGGGTTCGGCCACCATCACTTGCATTTGGCAGAGACTTACAGGCAAGCAACGGAGTGGGAAAACCTAATAGTGAAAAAAGAGAAGGCTCAGGTGTACGCTCTCAGAGCCAGAGGTCATGGGGAACCTGGAGGAAGGCTAAATAAAAACAGAGCATCTCATATAATTAATTGGGGAAACATATTTGGCTTCTGGTTGGTTCTGAGTTGGGGTGGGTGTGAAAAAACAAAACAAAACAAAACAGGGAGAATAACATCCATTGGCCAAGTATTGGGACTGGCTGTAGCAGAGGTTGGAGGTCAGCTTTCTGTTATAACATATGGTCTGGCCATTGTATCTTTAGCATATTCAGTCTTCACACTAAAGACTTTTTACCTTTGGACGACTCCTTGGAAACTCAGAATGAATGGCGTTCTTCAGGTTTTGAAAACAGAGGGTTAGTCAATTGAGAAATCACTGTATTTCAACTCAGAGGCTGCCTCTGTCTAGGTGCACAACTTAGTGAATAAAAGCAGATAGAAAAAAAGGAAGGTTGTGAATATATTGATAATTGTCTGCGATAATATAATTTAGCCTTTTTTTATTATTATTACACTTTAAGTATTAGGGTACATGTGCACAACATGCAGGTTTGTTACATATGTATACATGTGCCAGGTTGGTGTGCTGCACCCATTAACTCATCATTTAGCATTAGGTATATCTCCTAATGCTATCCCTCCCCGCTTCCCCCACCCCACAACAGGCCCAGGTGTGTGATGTTCCCCTTCCTGTGTCCATGTGTTCTCTCTGTTCAATTCCCACCTATAAGTGAGAACAGGCGGTGTTTGGTTTTTTGTTCTTGCAATAGTTTGTTGAGAATGATGGTTTCCAGCTTCATCCATGTCCCTACAAAGGACATGGATGCTTCCTTTTTTATGGCTGCATACTATTCCATGGTGTATATGTGCCACATTTTCTTAATCCAGTCTATCGTTGTTGGACATTTGGGTTGGTTCCAAGTCTTTGCTATTGTGAATAGTGCCGCAATACACATATGTGTGCATGTGTCTTTATAGCAGCATGATTTATAATCCTTTGGGTATATACCCAGTAATGGGATGGCTGGGTCAAATGGTATTTCTAGTTCTAGATCCCTGAGGAATCGCCACACTGACTTCCACAATGATTGAACTAGTTTACAGTCCCACCAACAGTGTAAAAGTGTTCCTATTTCTCCACATCCTCTCTAGCACCTGTTGTTTCCTGACTTTTTAATGATCGCCATTCTAACTGGTGTGAGATGGTATCTCATTGTGGTTTTTGATTTGCATTTCTCTGATGGCCAGTGATAATGAACATTTTTTCATGTGTTTTTTGGCTGCATAAATGTCTTCTTTTGAGAAGTCTCTGTTCATATCCTTTGCCCACTTTTTGATGGGGTTTTTTGGTTTTTCTTGTAAATTTGTTTGAGTTCATTGTAGATTCTGGATGTTAGCCCTTTGTCAGATGAGTAGGTTGCAAAAATTTTCTCCCATTCTGTAGGTTGCCTGTTCACTCTGATGGTGGTTTCTTTTGCTGTGCAGAAGCTCTTTAGTTTAATGAGATCCCATTTGTCAATTTTGTCTTTTGTTGCCATTGCTTTTGGTGTTTTAGACATGAAGTCCTTGCCCATGCCTATGTCCTGAATGGTACTGCCTAGGTTTTCTTCTAGGGCTTTTATGGTTTTAGGTCTAACATTGAAGTCTTTAATCCATCTTGAATTAATTTTTGTGTAAGGTGTAAGGAAGGGATCCAGTTTCACCTTTCTACATACGGCTAGCCAGTTTTCCCAGCACCATTGATTAAATAAGGAATCCTTTCCCCATTTCTTGTTTTTGTCAGGTTTGTCAAAGATCAGATAGTTGTAGATATGCGGAGTTATTTCTGAGGGCTCTGTTCTGTTCCATTGGTCCATATCTCTGTTTTGGTACCAGTACCATGCTGTTTTGGTTACTGTAGCCTTGTAGTATAGTTTGAAGTCAGGTAGCATGATGCCTCCAGCTTTGTTCTTTTGGCTTAGGATTGACTTGGTGATGTGGGCTCTCTTTTGGATCCATATGAACTTTAAAGTAGTTTCTTCCAATTCTGTGAAGAAAGGCATCGGTAGCTTGATGGGGATGGCATTGAATGTATAAATTACCTTGGGCAGTATGGGCATTTTCACGATATTGATTCTTCCTACCAATGAGCATGGAATGTTCTTCCATTTGTTTGTATCATCTTTTATTTCATTGAGCAGTGGTTTGTAGTTCTCCTTGAAGAGGTCCTTCACATCCCTTGTAAGCTGGATTCCTAGGTATTTTATTCTCTTTGAAGCAATTGTGAATGGGAGTTCACTCATGATTTGGCTCTCTGTTTGTCTGTTATTGGTGTATAAGAATGCTTGTGATTTTTGTACATTGATTTTGTATCCTGAGACTTTGCTGAAGTTGCTTATCAGCTTAAGGAGATTTTGGGCTGAGACAATGGGGTTTTCTAGATATACAGTCATGTCATCTGCAAACAGGGACAATTTGACTTCCTCTTTTCCTAATTGAATACCCTTTATTCCCTTCTCCTGCCTGACTGCCCTGGCCAGAACTTCCAACACTATGTTGAATAGGAGTGGTGAGAGAGGGCATCCCTGTCTCGTGCCAGTTTTCAAAGGGGATGCTTCCAGTTTTTGTCCATTGAGTATGATATTGGCTGTGGGTTTGTCATAGATAGCACTTATTATTTTGAGATATGTCCCATTAATACCTAATTTATTGAGAGTTTTTAGTATGAATGGTTGTTGAATTTTGTCAAAGGCCTTTTCTGCATCTATTGAGATAATCATGTGGTTTTTGTCTTTGGTTCTGTTTATATGCTGGATTACATTTATTGATTTTCGTATGTTGAAGCAGCCTTGCATCCCAAGGATGAAGCCCACTTGATCATGGTGGATTAGCTTTTTGATGTGTTGCTGGATTCGTTTTGCCAGTATTTTATTGAGGATTTTGCATCAATGTTCATCAAGGATATTGGTCTAAAATTCTCTTTTATTGTTATGTCTCTGCCAGGCTTTGGTATCAAGATGATGCTGGCCTCATAAAATCAGTTAGCGAGGAGTCCCTCTTTTTCTGTTGATTGGAATAGTTTCAGAAGGGATGGTACCAGCTCCTCCTTGTACCTCTGGTAGAATTCGGCTGTGAATCCATCTGGTCCTGGACTTTTTTTGATTGGTAAGCTATTAATTGTTGCCTCAATTTCAGAGCCTGTTATTGGTCTATTCAGAGATTCAACTTCTTCCTGTTTAGTCTTGGGAGAGTGTATGTGTTGAGGAATTTACCCATTTCTTCTAGATTTTCACATTTATTTGCGTAGAGGTGTTTATAGTATTCCCTGATGGCAGTTTGTATTTCTGTGGGATCGGTGGTGATATCCCTTTTATCATTTTTTATTGCGTCTATTTGATTCTTCTCTCTTTTCTTCTTTATTAGTCTTGCTAGTGGTCTATCAATTTTGTTGATCTTTTCAAAAACCCAGCTCCTGGATTCATTGATTTTTTTGAAGGGTTTTTTGTGTCTCTATTTCCTTCAGTTCTGCTCTGATCTTAGTTATTTCTTGCCTTCTGCTAGCTTTTGAATGTGTTTGCTCTTGCTTTTCTAGTTCTTTTAATTGTGATGTTAGGGTGTCAATTTTAGATCTTTCCTGCTTTCTCTTGTGGGCATTTAGTGCTATAAATTTCCCTCTGCACACTGCTTTGAGTGTGTCCCAGAGATTCTGGTATGTTGTGTCTTTGTTTTCATTGGTTTCAAAGAACATCTTTATTTCTGCCTTCATTTCGTTATGTACCCAGTAGTCATTCAGGAGCAGGTTGCTCAGTTTCCATGTAGTTGAGCGGTTTTGAGTGAGTTTCTTAATCTTGAGTTCTAGTTTGATTGCACTGTGGTCTGAGAGACAGTTTGTTATAATTTCTGTTCTTTTACATTTGCTGAGGAGTGCTTTACTTCCAACTATGTAGTCAATTTTGGAATAGGTGCGGTGTGGTACTGAAAAGAATGTATATTCTGTTGATTTGGGGTGGAGAGTTCTGTAGATGTCTATTAGGTCGGATTGATGCAGAGCTGAGTTCAATTCCTGGATATCCTTGTTAACTTTCTGTCTCGTTGATCTGTCTAATGTTGACAGTGTGGTGTTAACGTCTTCCATTATTTTTGTGTGGGAGTCTAAGTCTCTTCATAGGTCTCTAAGGACTTGCTTTATGAATCTGGGTGCTCCTGTATTGGGTATTGGGTGCATATATATTTAGGATAGTTAGCTCTTCTTGTTGAATTGATCCCTTTACCATTATGTAATGGCCTTCTTTGTCTCTTTTGATCTTTGTTGGTTTAAAGTCTATTTTATCCGAAACTAGGATTGCAACCCCTGCCTTTTCTTGTTTTCCATTTGCTTGGTAGATCTTCCTGCATCCCTTTATTTTGAGCCTGTGTGTGTCTCTGCATGTGAGATGGGTTTCCTGAATACAGAACACTGATGGGTCTTGACTGTTTATCCAATTTGCCAGTCTGTGCCTTTTAATTAGAACATTTAGCCCATGTACATTTAAGGTTAGTATTGTTATGTGTGAATTTGTTCCCATCATTATGATGTTAGCTGTTTATTTTGCTCATTAGTTGATGCAGTTTCTTCCTAGCCTTGATGTTCTTTACAATTTGGCATGTTTTTGCAGTGGCTGGTAGCGGTTGTTCCTTTCCATGTTTAGTGCTTCCTTCAGGAGCTCTTTTAGGGCAGGCCTGGTGGTGACAAAATCTCTCAGCATTTGCTTGTCTGTAAAGGATTTTACTTTTCCTTCACTTATGAAGCTTAGTTTGGCTGGATATGAAATTCTGGGTTGAAAATTATTTTCTTTAAGAATGTTGAATGTTTCCAGTGAAATTTTAAGCAATTTAGCCTAGTGTTTATTTAAGTTGAATTGAAAAAGCAGGCTTTCCAATTGTTTATGTGATATACCTTAGAAGGGCAAAACATATTTATGTGAAAGTCTAGAAAAAAACTCATCACTCAAAATTAACAAGGTAATAGAACTGGGAATGTACATTTTAGTTTTTGACTTCATTTTAAGTCTTTATCTAACATGTAAACACTGCACAGAATAAATGTATTTTGTTATGAAGATAAAATTTGAGTCAGGATATTCAATAACTATTCTTAATTCTATTCATAAACCCAAATAGGATACTTAGAAAAATTGGCTGTGTTATGATGGATTCAAGCATCTTGAAATTATTACATGATTATGAAGTATGCAATGTTAATGCAGAGTACCCTGAATTAGACATAAACAGTCATGAACCACAGAACATTTCCATCAACAATGGACTGCATATGCAACTGTGATCCTATAAGATTATAATACTGTATTTTTACTGTACCTTTTCTATGGTCAGATATGCTTAGATACACAAATACTTGCCATGTGTTCAATTGCCTCCAGTATTCAGCATAGTAACATGCTGTATAGGTTTGTGGCCTAGGAGCAAAAGGCTATACCACAAGGCTTAGCTGTAGCTTAGGTGTATATTAGGCTATACCATCTATGTTTGTGTGAGTACACTCTATTATGTTCACACGATGACAAATGCCTCATGCTACAATTCTCAGAATGTGTCTTTATCATTAAGTGATGCATGACACTATTTTAATAGAACTTTCTGTGTCTATGTTAGAGTATTAATAAATTATTAATAGAATAGGTATTATGTTAAAGTAACTAATATAATGTGTGCCATTGGACAATTAACTATGCACATTCATTCCTAACTGTATGTGAGTGCTTTGAACATATTTTTTCACTTTTAGTTTCACTAAGAATTATCAAGTTTCTAATGTCAACAATGTTAAAAGATATTAAAATATTATGAGTTCATTTTGAAGGTTATGTCAAAAATATTGACTGTTATTTGGTAGATGGTCTGTCTCCAAGCATTCACTGTCTGATTTCTGAAGTCTGAACATTCATCTTCTTCTCTTTTCATTGTTAAATATTAATCTTTAGAGTTAGACTTATCTGCCACTTCCCCAAAGAGCTTCCAAGACTCCTCATATCAGCATGCATGTCCCTACCATATTTTAGACAACATCCTGTACTTCTCCTTCACAAACCTGATCATGCTCCTGATGACTATTTCCCCTGACTTGCCCTTCCTCACTTCCCAAATATGCCAAATCACATCAAATTTAGCACATTTTTACTAACAAATGAAAACCAACATTTTAAATTATCTGTTCATCATATTTTATTATGTTTTTAAAAGACTACCTGCAGTTGGAAATATTTAAGTCACTGATGACTTAAATTTCTATACATTTCTCTTTAGAGATGGAATAAGGCAACACAAAGTAAGGGTGTATTTTCTTTCTGATCACAGCATGAAAATAGCCTGCTGAAAGAATTCACTTTGAAAATGCCACAAAACAGACAATGGAAAAATGAGGTAAGTTCTCATTTTTCAGACTTCTGCATAAAAGCTTTTAAACTCATTGACAGCAGCAATATCTTTCATTTCCCCTTTCTAAGAGTAAAGCACCATTTCTAAGTAAACAAGCCTTCACAGAACTCATATGTCTAAGTGTATTTGATAGATAAATGAATAACATCAAAACTAATTCTCTGCTTAATGGATGTACAACTTTTCTAGCATCTACTCATTTGTGTGTGAATGCACCATAAGTGTAGGTGGTCTTCCAGTCAGTTATACTTCAGCTGAGCATGACATGAGGAGTACACAACAAAACAGCCTCCTTGAGGACGCAGTAATGGAGAACAACAAGACAGATAATAATGAGGGATTAGAACACTGCCTCATAAATCTACAGTGATGCTGACAAGATTTCAGCTTTGAGAATGACCAACCTTTCTCTTACTCCTGAGGTGCAGTGAAAGATGGTAGGCTAATGGGCTTATTTTGCCAAAGCCATTGCCCAGGCAATTCATAATTTTTAAAAGAAAGGTTTCTATATTGTTTTATGTTGATCTATAAAATGATAGTGTTTTGGTCTTAATCCAATGTATCCAAACTATTCTCACTGGATTTGGATAAATTATAAAATAATAATTTTAGCTAGTAATTTGCAGAAATTGTTACTACTACACTGGGAATTGACATCACTCTTTATAAGAGTTTGGTCACAATTAGGCTAACTCTTCAGTTCAGGGAAAACTTATCAATATACTTACAACCCAAAGTACACATATAAATAAATGAATTTATGTTTAAAAAACAATTGTAGCTAATTACAAACAGAGTTCTAAACCTGAATTTGATTGTCCAAGGTAAGGAAAATTTGACAAGTAGTCAGTGTTTTACAGACTATGCTATTAACCTAAGCATTGCATCTGGTTAATTTATACAACTATGATGTTGATTTGCCAGTCATCCAGCTAATTTTGATCAATGATATATTAAAATAAATATGGTAGAAAACAGCCAAAGTCAAACAATTGAGTAATGACACTGGAAAGTATTCATGGATTCTAGACTGCTTTTTGAATAAATAGTAAGCAAAATTAAGACATGAGAAATTATTTTATTTTAATACTTTAACTGAACAAAAGGTTTCAAGCTTTGAGTTGACTAAAAATGTCTAATCTCAAGTTATTCATAAAGAACTGACCATAAATCCATAGAGACAGAAAGTAGATCGGTGGTGATGTGGGGCCACATGTGGGACTTAGAAGTGAATATATATGGGCACAATGTTTGTTTTTTAGGGTGTTGGAGGTATCTAAAATTAGATTTTGGTATTGTTTACACCACTCTGTTAATGTACTGAAAATCATTGAATTGTGTATTTAAAATGAATAGATATTTTGATGAAGTTAACAGAAGAAATCACAGCATTCTACTAAAGGCATGTTGTCATATAAGGGATGTTTGTGGGCCTTGAGCTCTTCTAATAGCAGGCATTACTTTTCAGGCTCACAGTTGGTGGAGGTTTTCTGTGAATTGACAGGGATTGACAGGTTAATATAGAGAGGATTTGAATGAGAACCCTTATTCCTTAGCATGCTTAAAGAGCAGTGAGCAACATATTACCTCATTTTTAAATAGGTGTTGGAAAGACTTTCGTTGATCTGCTACTGAAAATGATGCCAAAATATTGAGATTTTATAAATCTCCATACTAATTTAAACTAGGCTGCCAAAAAGCATCAATGATGCATATTCACAAATGTATACCATATTTTCAAGCAATTGAAAGCATATCTGAGCCAAAAAGTTTATCAGGATTATATATGAATCCTTAATATGTAATTAAAATTAAAATAGCATATTATAACTTATCCTTTCAGGAACTTTATAAATATTTTTACATAATTGATATTTACAAGAAAGGTATTGACTATTAAATTTTAAGGCAGCTGATGGAAGTTTAAATGTGTGATTAGAAATTCCTGCTTTAATGTAAATAGCATATTTAGGAATGTGTTGAATTCTCAGTACATACAATACTATTTTTTCCTTAGTAGTGTTATGTTTTATTAAACACACACGTAGACACATGTGCGTGCACACACACACACACACACACACACCGCTTATAAATCCAGTGGTACACAAGGCCTTATAAGGAAAAGCAAAGGTTACATTGCTCCACTGCTCCTTGTCCCACCCCTAATACTTCAAAACAAAAATTTCTGTCTCTTTTATTCTGTTGGTTACTTTCACATCACTACATTAGATAATTATAATACTGAATATAAATTCATTAACTGTGAATATTACCTACTGACTTTTGCCATGATAAGTGAGGACTTAGCATTTTAAGACTGCGGGAACATTAGCCCTGTTCGTTTTTTAACTTCATTGTTTTCATTATTGTGTACTACTATTTTTAATAGGATCTTGGGAGGAAGAGGGAAAAATCGCATATTATCAGTCTGATTAAAATGGAATCTGAAGTTCAAGTGCTTTTTAATAATGGCTTGTAAATTTCAGTCTGCCCTATATTTAACCTGAGACCCTACTCAGGGACTCAGCACTCTTGGTGTCCCAGAAGGGCATTCTTCAATTAGGGTTGATTCTGGTTTTACCTCTTACTTGCTTAAACATAACTAGTCATAAATCTTACTGGTTTTTCCTCCTGTAAGCCTCTTAGATTTCCCCTTTTCAGGCTTATTTCACCTCATCTGCCTAGTTCAGGTTTGTATAATCTTTATAAAATGATACAAAAGTAAAACTAATTTTTCCCCAATGTTTCTAATAATACCTTCGTGTCATAGATATCCTTTATTTGAATATACTGTGTCAAATAATATGAAAAAAATGACAATAACTAGATACTTCACAATATATTATTTATTGACTGACTTTAATTGAATAAACAGTTGAAATCAAACAAGTGTGAACCATATACATAATGAATATCATATCAGATTGACACTGCATTCATAATACCAAAAATGTACACCACTCTCACAAACAAAAGTCTTATAGTTGTAGACTTTTCATTACCAGCAAAAGACGTCTCCATTTTGGCTCATATTGTTTGTTGTAATGACATGAAATGTCCCCTTCCATCTCTCAAGCTGAATGGGCTGTAACCGTGCCAAGGTCTGTACTTATTGATTAGTCACTTTCCAGTATATTAGGATGCACTAGAAAAATTTAGGACTAAAGAAAATCACACCTATAAAAGTCTTCAGAGAATGTTAGGCTGCATTTAAATACCACACATTCTCATATAAAATAAAATTGTAGATTTACATTTTCCTTTTCTTGTCTACCATATACAGTCAGTTTTCAAGACACTTTTGTGAGGGCATCAATAAATATCATTCAGTGAATAAACGAAGATGGCAAGAGAGGAAAAAAAGTACATAGTCTAAAAGTGGGCAGATTAGTTGTAAAGATGCATTCTTATTTCTGTTACATTTGCATACAAATTGATCTGGAAATCCATCCGCTGACTCCATTAATGAGGTCAAGAACAACATACAGACTTAATCACACCCTGCTACAGGTTTTTTTGGCTAACTGTCTCTGGGGATGAAAATTCCAAAGTATGACATCTTGCTTTCTATTGCATTTCCTTTCTTTGTAGAATAATTTCTACCATGAGATCATAATTAAATGTCATTTAGAAGTTCCCTCACTTTTTATTTTTCCTCCCTAACTATTGATGTGTGTCATCCTTGTCACTTTAATTGAACTTTGAGACTTAAATGACACGTGGTGGAATTTGGAATGACAGTATAACATTAATGCATTATTTCAGTCATTTGAGCAAAAATCTGAGTCTTTGAATTGGAATTCGTGCTAAGGAAATAGGAAGTATGAATACATTAAAATTTTCTCTTGCTTCTCTATCCCTATTGTTTCTATGCCATCATGTCATAGATACTCTTTATTTGAAGATACTGTGTCAAATCATATTCTGTAATATGACAATTAATAAAAAAATTCTATAATTTTCTTATTAGGTAAGGTTTTGAAATATTGCATTTTGTAGTTCAAACATTATTTAAGTACCTTAACACATATTTATATAATATGCAATGGAATTGAGTAAACAAAAAGTTTTGGTAAATGTTTCCCACACCATGTATATTAACTTTTTCTTTCAGACCCTAAGGCTTCTCTGTTAACCCCCATCAGGGTTTTATTTGCCATAAAATTGATAATAAAATTTGCTTTCTCCTCTAACAAGATTCTTTCTGTAGACATTACAGTGAATATTTGATAAACTGCCTTTAGCAGTCCTGATTATTCTCTAAACAAAGATGATGTTGTTTAATAAGATATGGAAGGCTAAATAAACACATGGTTAGTCAATTTTACATATGGCTGATTTCTCTCTATTCAAGTGCTATTTTATCATATTCTGTAAATATAAAGTTTATATACTGAAATTTGAACCAGCAGGAGGACATTACCTAAATCTGGTTTCCCATGAAAATCTAAGTACTATGCTTTAAGACTATTAAAATCAATTGTCAAAAGTGTTTAAAATTTATATGTATTCAAATCATGTTTCTAAATTTTTAACAGTAGAAAAGGATACGACTTTATTTCTTAATTAATTTATTGTTCCCTCAAATATTTTTATATTGAATTAGTAAAGAAAAATCAGGTATCACATTATCTATAATTATGATTCTATTAGAAATACTTGAAATCTATTTGAAGGAGAGTAGTCTTAATAACAGTGATGAAGATCTCATTAACACACTTCACACGCATCACCTATGTTTTCCATTCGGTGTTGTCCAACATCTTTACTAAATTCACAAGGCTAGAACTGCATTGAGAACTTTTTTTGGTCTGTTTTACATAGTGTTAGATAATAAAATATTATTGCTATTATAATAAAATATTACAATATATTTTATTAAATGTATATTATAATAAAATATTTATTGATGTGATAAGAGTTCCAGTTGTGAGTTACATTAAATCGTGTGTTACTAATATACAAACAAAAAACAGAAAATAAATAGGCACTTATGTAAGGCTACCCTGTGCCACAGCTGGTTCCCAATTAATGGACATGAATAGTCCACTATCATGATAGCCTTGAATTCTTCTATTTGAAGTTTAGCTATTATGTGAAAAAGACAAATTATAATCTGATTATGCTTTCAAAGTTTGATAAATCACAGTCATACCTGCAAGACAGGCAGAATGGGCATACAATACTGCTGCTTATGTGGATGGTGCCTCTTGGGGTTGTGCACTGCACAATGGACACAACCATGTGTGGCAGCCCTGAGTGTGATGACATCATCTTTCTTGGGGAAAATTTTAATGGTTAGCCTCCTAGATCCTTCTGTACCTTATGCCTTTGCTCCAGGAGGCTGCCATTGATGCATGACCTTAGCAGGGTCCCATGCTCTCTAGCTTCCAAAGGAATGCATTAGCAACAATTGAGAGGACTGTGGTAGAGAAAGATTAGGGTGTTTATTCTACAGCTTTCTTCTTGTTGGGACACTGTTTTATCAGCCATTTTGTTATTTCTGTTGCTACAGCTAGAGTCATGCAGTCAAATTCTCTAGATCCTGGTAACACTTTTTCACTGCCTTGCACCTTCAATTTTAGTAGCATTAATACAAAAGCCAAAATTGACAAATGGGATCTAATTAAACTAAAGAGCTTCTGCACAGCAAAAGAAACTACCATCAGAGTGAACAGGCAACCTACAGAATGGGAGAAAATTTTTGCAATCTGCTCATCTGACAAAGGGCTAATATCCAGGATCTACAATGAACTCAAACAAATTTACAAGAAAAAAACAACGCCATCAAAAACTGGGCGAAGGATATGAACAGACACTTCTCAAAAGAAGACATTTATGCAGCCAACAGACATACAAAAAAATGCTCATCATCACTGGCCATCAGAGAAATGCAAATCAAAAACCACAATGAGATACCATCTCACACCAGTTAGAATGGCGATCATTAAAAAGTCAGGAAAAAACAGGTGCTGTAGAGGCTGTGGAGAAATAGGAACACTTTTACACTGTTGGTGGGACTGTAAACTAGTTCAACCATTGTGGAAGACAGTGTGGTGATTACTCAAGGAACTAGAACTAGAAATACCATTTGACCCAGCCATCCTATTACTGGGTATATACCCAAAGGATTATAAATCATGCTGCTATAAAGGCACATGCACACATATGTTTATTGCGGCACTATTTACAATAACAAAGACTTGGAACCAACCCAAATGTCCATCAATGATAGACTGGATTAAGAAAATGTGGCACATATACACCATGGAATAGTATGCAGCCATAAAAAAGGAAGCATTCATGTCCTTTGTAGGGACATGGATGAAGATGGAAACCATCATTCTCAGCAAACTATTGCAAGAACAAAAAACCAAACACCGCATGTTCTCACTCATAGGCGGGAATTGAACAATGAGAACACTTGGACACAGGAAGGGGAACATCACACACCGGGGCCTGTCGTGGGGTGGGGGGAGGGGGGAGGGAAAGCATTAGGAGATATACTCAATGTAAATGACAAGTTAATGGGTGCAGCACACCAACATGGCACATGTATACATATGTAACAAACCTGCACGTTGTGCACATGTACCCTAGAACTTAAAGTGCAATAAAAAAAATACTCCCTCCTGTTACATGTCATTTGGTGCTTTAATATATCTCGTTGGTGCTATCTATTCTCTACTATGACCTGAACTTATATATCTTATTTTAAACACAATATCTTGGTGAAATAGTTTTTATAGAGACATTTCTTTAGGAAATCATGTGATAAATAGATTCTTTGTTAAATATTTTATTATTTAAATGGATACTTCTATGGAAGGTGTGACTGCCAGATAAATTCTGAATCTAAGTTAGCAAGCACAACTATGTGTTCTCCACTGTCTCTTTCTGTGTCCCTGGTAGATACAGCTACCCAATCACTGATCCTTCCTGCTGAGTTAGGATATGACCTTAGAACTTTATCAACAAGGTGCTCCAGGCAGTCTCTACCAATCAAGTCAGAGATCTGCAACTTTTGAGACTGCCTTCACCCTAGCAATGTGACCTAAGTCCTTTTGTTTTTAAAGCCAGTACTCAGCCTCTTCAAAGGGAAAGCTGAGATCTGTTTTCATTCATCACTCCACAGAGAATAACCAACCTTAGCCTTCAAACTTCTTGTTCGACATCCTCTCTCATAACACATTATGCTTCCTGCATTTTACCCATTTACCCAAACCTTTTCCTTCACTAATCCCTCAATTTCTTCCTCAGAGCTATCTGGATCACTTTCTTCCTAACAAACACATCTCCTGTATCTCCAATCTAATTTGTGTTTATTCTACCTTTTGTTTTAAATGAGATGTGATCTTTCATTTTTTCCTGGAATTATCTCAAATCTTGCTCTCTCTCTCTCTGTCTATATATATACAGGGAGATAGATCTCTCCTCTCTCTCTCTCTCTCTCTCTCTATATATATATATATACACATATAGATAGATAGATAGATATAGATATATAGCAAGGATATGAGGATAAGAATATATACATGCCAGGTGTTGAGGATGTGTTCCTCTTATATTCACATAGTATCTACCAGATGTTCCGGATTATTCTTTTAGTCAGACTTGCCTAATGCAGCTCATGCCATGCACTTCAGCCATCTCTTCCCTTTCTGCTGATTGTCATCTGACTTTGCATCCTTTCTCTCATTTATTGAAAAGTTGAGCACTTTGATTATAGTCTTCTTTTCTACCCTAAACGTCAACATCCTGGATGACTTTAGTATCTACATATAAGAACTACCCTATGCCAGGCATTTTAAAGAGACAATACATGTTTGAGCCAAAGCTATGGACTGTGTAGTCTACCTGCCTTCCCATTTCTGAACCAGAAAGCTTCATTCACAACCCCCAAAGAAAGTTACTAAACTGTCAGTGTCTTAATTTTCTCATAAGTGAAACAAGGATAATTATAATTTCTGAATTTAAGATTGTCGAGAGAAATAAGTAAGTAGGGCTGGGCATGGTGGCTCACGGCTGTAATCCCAGCACTCTGGGAGGCTGAGGCGGGTGGATCACCAGAGGTCAGGAGTGTGAGACCAGCCTGGCCAACATGGTGAAACCTCGTCTCTACTAAAAATACAAAAATTAACCCAGCATAGTGGCAGGCACCTGTAATCCCAGCTACTCGGGAGGCTGAGGCAGGAGAATCGCTTGAACCCAGAAGGCGGAGGTTGCAGCAAGCCAAGATAGCCAAGATAGCGTCATTGCACTCCAGCCTGGGGGACAAGAGCAAAACTTCATCTCAAAAGAAAAAAAAAAAAGAAAGAAAGAAAGAAAGAAGTAGATAAAATGTACCAAAAACGAGTCTGGATCCTCATAGACTCTCAACAAACTTTATTCTTCCTATTATTAATTACTTTATCATCATTCATATCTCCACAGCAACCCACCCTTAAAGTCAGATCTTGAACTTGTCATCACCTCAAATTGATGAACCTATAAAAATCACCATCTCAACCTCCTTTCTTCCAGCTCACATGTTCAATGCCAGCCCTATGACTTCATTCACTTTTTTGGAGACTTTCAGTCACTGATATCAGTGACTGAATTCTCAGCAGATAGGCCTGTTCTTCTACACTAATCATACATGGATTAAGTTCTTAGGAGCATCATTTCAAGAACATGCTTGCCAATGTCTCAAGTTGTTTTATGCCTCTATCTTTTTCATCACACTTGCCTGGACAAAAATCATAGCTCTGAATGAAACCAAATAAAATGAACTCAGATGGAGCCAAATTTAGCCAGGGGTGTTCCCCAGAAGCTGAGAGTTGTTGAGTATGGTTATGAAAAAAGCAGATTCGCATTCTATTACAAAGATATATGCACACATATGTTCATTGCAGCACTATTGACAAGAGCAAAGACATGGAATCTACTCAAATCCCCATCAGTGATAGACTGGATAAAGAAAATGTGGTATGTATACACCACGGAATACTATGCAGCCATAACAAAGAATGAGATCATGTCGTTTGGAGGGACGTGGATGGAGCTGGAAGCCATTATCCTCAGCAAACTAAAAGTAGCAACCTGTTTGGAACTTCTAAAATCAAATCGTGATAGATTATAACTGTTAGTATTTTAGATTTTTAAAATTAGAGATCAATGTAAAAATGTAAAAGCTGTTCCTCAGCCAAATTTGAGATCATCTGCATAGATATCATAATGGAAGACAGTTATGGATGTATGGATGGGGAAGCTTACAAACTACATTTGTAAGACCGGAAAACTAAACACCACATGTTCTCACTTAAAGTGGGAGCTGAACAATGAGAACACATGGACACAGGAAGGGGAACAACACACACTGGGGGCCTGTAAGGGGTGGAGTGGGGAGAACGAGAGCATTGAGAAGAATAAGTAATGCATGCTGGGCTTAATACCTAGGTGACAGGTTTATAGGTGCAGCAAACCGCCATGGCACATGTTTACCTCTAACAAACCTGCACATCCTGCACATGTATCACGGCACTTAAAATACAAGTAAAAATTAATAATAAAAAAAGGAAAAAGCAGATTGGTTGAACCATTAGCTAATAATCACCAATTTCCACAAAGCCCTACAAATAGCTGTGCTTCCTAAAATATAAAAAAATAGAAATCCTATCACAAAATCCCTTCAAAACCTGTCCAAATTACTACCGTCTTTTTCTTCTTCCCTGCTGCTTCAAGGCAGGAGCAGCTCCTGGTGCCTCAGGCCAGTGCCTGTGGTGCTGCATGACCACCCACTATTCCTTCTCAGGGGCTTTACCCACCAAATATTTCTTTACTTTTCTTTTGCAGACTCTTCCTGTCCCCGGAGTCTTTCAATCAGTCTTTAAACATAATTTTTTTCTTGGATTTTACTACTTTTTCCACTTAGAATCCTCTATCACTCCTTTCCCACATAGCCAAATTGTCTGAGTTTTTAAATATTTGCCAGAAATTCATGTATATTTTGTACTGTGTTGCCAATGCATATTTTTGACAATGTTTATAGGCATATTCCTATTTTTTTATGTAAATAGGTTTTAACATGTTTAGAATATCTTCTTTGATCTTATTATTTCTCCTTCATCTCCCTAGCTATGCTAGGAAACTGGAAACATTTTCCACACGTCCCTTGCTTCATCCCTTATCAACAATCCATATTGCTGAGTGCTACTTCCCTTTTGAGGCAGTCTTCCTTTGCATAGATGATGTGACACTGTCCTGGTTTCTTCCCAAATATGTAACTTCTCAGTCACGTTATGTTTGCTGTCTTCTATTGGGCAGTACATTTTAGGAATCCCTGATGGCTATTATACACCCTCTTATTGACTTATGATATATTTTCTCAGTAAGCTTCCCCATCCATACATCCATAACTGTCTTCCATTATGATATCTATGCAGATGATCTCAAATTTGGCTGAGGAACAGATTTTACATTTTTACATTGATCTCTAATTTTAAAAATCTAAAATACTAACAGTTATAATCTATCACGATTTGATTTTAGAAGTTCCAAACAGGTTGCTACTTTTAAAAATAAACAGATTGTGTTTCAAAGGCAGCACACTCTGAAATTATATATTAATAAGGAATGAGTTAAGAGACACATTCTTTTGAAAATGAGAATAAAAATCTATGGACTCATGCAGAACTATTTGTTCCAAGACACGTTCAAAGATTATGAGAGGATGCTGATTTGCTATTCTCTAAAACAGTGGTATATGCACTTGCCTGAGTCATCGCATTGACTCCTTAAACAATTTATTCTTCCTTTTCAGTGTTATTTTTCACTAACAATACAAAGCAGAATCCTCAAGAATACAGACAAAGGTGATGCATATTTACTGTATGTGCTGGCTGTGGTTCAATGAAATAAAGTATTAGCAGGATGGGCAGAAAATATACTGCAATCACTATTTCAAAACAGTGGAAGTTTAAAGAGATATTTAAAGTTTAAAGTGATATTTAAAGATGATAGACGTAACTACAATTTCTCTTCGTGTTACTATCACTTTTTTATTTTACAAAAATGCTGAATTTATAGAAGGCACTATCTCTGTGGTGAGTGGTGAGAGGGGGGTCATCAACATTTTTTGGTCTGCCAGAAACCTGGTCTTCAGCAAAAGAAAAAAAAAGAGAGAGAGAAAAGAGAAAAAGACAATGTAAGCACAGTAATTTCTAACCTACAAATAATATTCTTCTTTCATTTGCAGTTGCCATCTGTTGTAAGAACTGAATTAGTCTTTCTTTCTTTCTTTCTCTTTCCTTTCTTTCATTTCTTTCTTTCTTTCTTTCTTTCTTTCTTTCTTTCTTTCTTTCTTTCTTTCTTTCTTTTCTTTTCTTTCTTTGTCTCCCTCTCTCTCTCTCTCTTTCTTTCTTTCTTTTTCTTTCTTTCTTTTTTTTTCTTGAGATGGAGTCTTGCTCTGTTGCCCAGGCTGGAGTGCAGTGGCACTATCTCGGCTCACTGCAACCTCTGCCTCCTAGGTTCAAAGGATTCTCCTGCCTCAGCTTCCGAGTAGTTGGGATTACAGGTGCACCACCATGCCCGACTACTTTTTGTATTTTTAGTAGAGACAGGGTTTCGCCATGTTGCCCAGGCTGCTCTTGAACTCCTGGCCTCATGTGATCTGCCCGCCTCGGCCTCCCAAATGCTGGGATTACAGGTGTGAACCACTGCACCAGGCCTCTTCTGTTAATTTCTAAAAGGATCTGACCATTTCCTGTGCCTGGGTTCAGGCTAATTTTGGCCTGCAGCCCAGACCTGCAACACATATCTTGTGAAAAAACTGTAACTAGTTTAATTGGCTCACAAAATACAAAGCCCTGCTGTCTTCTTTTCTGTGTCCACTGTGTACACAGTTAGCCCTATTCTGCTTCAATATTGATAGCCAGCTCTTGAATTCATGACCTTGCTGCTTACAGATAAGTTCTACAAACATGCTTCTCTCTCCATAGTCCCATTGCTTTGTTTAATCTTTCCAGTGTCAGCTTAAGTCACTACTCTGAGAAACCTTCCTTGAATTTTCATAAGTGGTTAGAAAACTCTCTGTCTCTCTCTCTCTTTGTTTTTCTCTCTCTTTGTTTCTCTCTCTCTCTCTCTTTCATAGTTCTGTCACCATATCTGGGGCCCTTTCTCAGGTACAGTTAATATGTACTCCAGTAGTGATCTCCTGCAGTTCTGTATTCACAGCAAATAACTTTGTCATTTAAAGGTTTAATTGTCAATTACTCCGTTGCAACTGCAAGTTCCATGAACTCAAAGCTCTGTTAGTTTCCTTATATTTAAGTCACCAGTGCCTATTCAATTTATATATTTGAGTAAGTTAAAGAAAAAAGGTGGGAAAAATAATAATTTCCTTTCAAAAAGAAATAGGCAAAAATTTACTTGTTTGGTGAAAAGAAACCTTTAATCATTTCAGCAGAGTTTACTAATGATATTACTTACTAATATCATTTCTAATAATAATTCGCAATGTAATGAGTACAATGTAAAGATTACAGATGCATTAAAATCTCAGAATTCATTGTCATATACCTCATCCATGTAAACAAAAACCACTTGTACCCCAAAAGCTATTGAAATACATATATTCAATATATGTTATATATTAATATATACATTCAATTTATATATAGAAAATATATATTCAATTTATTTTATATATTAAATATATATTCAATTTATTTTATATATTAAATATATATTCAATTTATTTTATATATAATAAATTATTCAATTTATTTTATGTATGCATGTATAGATACAAAATCACAGCAAAATAAAAAAAAATATATTAGACTACAACTCCAAAGACTCAAGACTTGAAATACACTGCAATTTTAATACTAATTAGTTGATTTTATGCCCCTGACTGATTCTCTAATTTTATTGAATTTCAATTTCCCATTTTAAAATTGAGCATGGTTGGAGTAAACTGGTGGTTAATGTTGTATTAGTTTCCTGAGGCCGCTGTAACAAATTACTAAAATCACTTTGGTTTAAAAGAACAGAAATGTATGATTTATAGTTCTGAAGACCAGAATTCCCAAATCAGTGTCTCTAGGCCAAAATCAAGGTGTCAGCAGGTGGCACGACCTCTGGGAGTGGGGAATCTGTTCTAGGCCTCTTCCAGCTTATGGTGGTTGTTGGCACTCCTTGTCTTTTGCCTGCATCACTCCAGTCTTCAAGATCAGCATCTCTAAATCTCTCTGCTCCATCTTCACATGACCTTCCCTAAATCAAGCCTCCTTCTAACTCTCTTTTTTATAAGGATACATGTGATGGCATGTAGGGTCTACCAGGATAATCTCCCCATCTCAGTATCCTTTACTTAATCACATCTTCAAAGAAACATTTTCCAGATGAGGTAACATTTACAAATTTCAGAGATTAAGGCATGATATTGGGGGAAGGGAGCATTTTTTAGCCTTTCACAGTAGGCGTATTTATTACTACTGCTGCTACTACTGCCATTGCTACTACTCATAGTATTGGAGGCCTCTCTCTACATGAAGTATTATAAGGACACCTTACATGTTAAACACATAAAGCAGAACTGCTTTGTTAGAAGCAAAGGTGTCACAGCCAATCTTTCGCTATCTTTCCCCTTCCATTGTCCTGGTTCTACCCTTCTCCACAGTTGATACTGAACCCCTATGGTACTTAAGAGTATGCAAATTACTTGATTGGATTATTTTTTAAAATTCTTCATAGAAACTAAGTTGATATAATATTCCAGTTGGCATAGCATATAATCATTTAATTTATAATAAAGTAATTAAAATATTCTGGAAATTAGCAATAATATTTTAAGTTTTCTAAGAAACCATATCTATTCAGATATAAAGAAATCAACTTACTAAGAACATCATTCTACAATAAGCATCTATTACTTGGGTGGGTTAATCTACAATAATACTATACAAGGCTGTGAAAAGTGCAGAATATTAAATGGATATAAATTATCCAATTAAAAGCATTAATATTGTGGTATTCAAGTTCTTATTTATTAGCAGGGAAATGCATATTTTAAGCTGTAGGCATTCATTCTGTTTATTAATTTGCAGATTTTCCCAGTTTGCTATTTACATTTATTTATGGAGACTGTTACTAAATTTGATGTGATAAATGTATAATGTTTATCTATTATTTTGCATCTAGTATTAAACCTAGGTAGGCCTTCAATTGCCAGCACTTGGCTTTCTCCCTATCAAGTAATAGACTTTCAAAAATGATGGCCAAATTAATGATTTTATTTCAAGATAGTCCTTATTATCTTCTAGTACATATATGGCATAATTTTATGACATTTGAAATTTTAATACATCTGAAATTTATTTTGCGACATATGTGGCAGGGACCCAACCTTATTTTTTTCCAAATAGAAAATGTTTCCTATATTATTTTCTAATTAACCACTGAAATCTCCAGTGATGTGACACATCTGCTGTATAATATTCTATATGTTTATATATAATCAGTTCTATTTATTAGTGCTGTGGACTTTCTACACTACTCCTTTTGTCTGTCCATTTATGAAGACAGCATACTCTTGCTTCAACGTTTTATTATGTGGGTGAATACTTTACTAACAATCTCAAAATTAAATGAATGAAAATACTATTGCAAAATTTTATTGTGAAGACTTAATGAAGAAAGTTTTACACATACAGATTTTCAATTATTTTTCTTCAAGTCTTTCTATGATATCCTTGTGACATAGCCTCTTATTTGAAATAACAAAGGTCTGAGTTCTTTATGACTCATCCCTCAATTTATAAAGTGTTCCTGCTGGATTTTAAGCTTGCTTTTTGACTTACTATGTGTTTAAGTAAAAGAGCACATAAATTATTAAATGTGAAGCAAGCAATCAATAATTATCTATCAAATTAGAAAGGAAATGTATCATAATTAAACTGAAGAAAATTTGATGCTACCTATATAAACAGGAACACTTCTTGCAGAATATAATTACCCAGCCTGCTGAGTAGCAAATAGTGTTCAAGCAATATTTGTTAAATACGTTAAATCACATTTTAATATTTAATATTTATCATGAAATCATATACTTATTGTTATGTCTTACATTTTTCTATCTGTATTTTCCACTTGGATTATGCCTGGCCCATGTTAGGAGCTCAGTAAATGTCAAGTACATGAATCTTCTGCAAAGACTGCACAAACAGGTTAACTAGAAACCTACAGTCAATGTGAGGATAGCCATGTGTCCCAGGAAGTCACCATGAACCATTGGCTTTGCCTAATGAGAAAGATATTTTAGATAGAGTGCAGGAAAAAGCATTCTCTTCTGACAAAAATTCACTTTGTTCTAATTGTGCTCTGTATTTATAGGAGACAGGAAAATGCAATGGTGAGATCTAGAAAGTAATTGCAGTAGCAGTTTTAGAGATTATACTCTGGAAGAAGTGAAAAATTTATTTTTCAAAATATGAATGAAAAAATTCTTCAAAAATTTTGTTCTTAATATAACCCACAAGTGAGAGCTTTTAAAAGTAGAAATGTTAGGGGCCGGGCGCGGTGGCTCACGCCTGTAATACCAGCACTTTGGGAGGCCAAGGCAGGCAGATCACGAGGTCAGGAGATGGAGACCATCCTGGCTAACATGGTGAAACATCGTCTCTACTAAAAAAATACAAAAAATTAGCGGGGTCTGGTGGCGGTCCCCTGTAGTCCCAGCTACTTGGGAGGCTGAGGCAGGAGAATGGCGTGAACCCTGGGGGTGGAGTTTGCAGTGAGCCGAGATCGCGCCACTGCTCCCCAGCCTGGGCGACACAGTGAAGACTCCGTCTCAAAAAAATAAATAAATAGATAAAAAGTATAAATATCTGTTATAATTATAATGGTCTGGAATGCATTGACACATGGGGATAACATGGGAGAGCAGCAGGATCTTACCGCATACACTATAACTTTTAAGTAAGTTGAAGAGTTAAACTATGAAATCAATACACAATGATCAAGATTAGAAAGATAAAAAGCCTTGCCTATCAAAAGAAAGGACAATCCTTGACCATGGTTGAATTGACCAGGTCAGAGGAAGCCTTGCTTCCACTTTGGCATCTTGGAGGGCTCAGTCTGCAGAAGCTCTTTTTGGGATGCTGCCTCACAGAACCCAGTCGCCGTGCTGTGAAACTCATGAAAAGGCCTTATGTATTTGCTCTCATTGGCAGATCCAGCTCTTTCAGCCTTTAAGTGATCCCCATATTCCAGTTATGTAATTGAAGAAACCCGTGAATAATTGCAGACTCTAAACTTTCTAGTCAAAGCCAGATGCTGAGTCTTTTTAAAGCGAAGCCTCTGATGCAGAAAAGCAGAGACGAGCCATATCGGTAATGTTCTGTATGGATTCCTGACCTCAAGAATCCATAGGTATAACAAATAGTTATTGTTTCGCTAAACATATTTATCGAAATAGGTGTTTCTCGTTTAATGGAAATAAGCTTAGTGTTGTTTCTTCTGCAGCTATAGATAACCAAAATAGATAATAATAACAACAATAGCAAATGTGAAATAAAAATAGAGTCCTAAGCCCCCCAGACAGAATTAAAGGACTCTTTGTGGCAGAAAAGACCCCCCCAAAACCTAGAAAAATGAAATTTCCCAGCTTTGATAAGGTAAGAGGTCAGTCCCATCTCAACACTCCCCTACCTCAACAACCATTTCAGGACTGTGTTTTCTACTATTAAACAGAAACTAGTTCCTGAAAAACAGTGTCTGGAAGATTTCTCCACACACCACCTGATGCCGGGGCCGACCTCCCCTCCCTTCTCACAGTTTTGCTGTGACAGCTGACAAGCCTCACAAGGCATTCCACCCTGATAGCTGACCGCCAAGCACAGGCTGGTTCTGGCCAGTCCACGGAGGCTGCGTGCAAGATGCCTTTGTGTCCTGTTATTCACCTTTTGACACAAAGAGCCAAGTTTCACTTTATTTTAATGTTAAATTTGTACTCTAAAATAAATATGGGACGTAGAAATCATGAAGGTTTATACACTCATCATATGTTTGGTTTCTCTCTCAAATATTCAAAGATTCTCTCATAATCTGCTGAATAGGTATGTATAGCTAACTCCATTGGGTGTAAATCCTAGGCTTCCTCCTTTTGTCTCAAAAGCCTCTGCTTTAGGTTTTGGCCAGAGGCTTCATTTTTCAACCTACAGGTTGTAACCGTTTATAGGAAATAAAGCTCTCCTTTTTCTTCCTCCAAAGATCTCATGGTTTTTTTGTTTAAAAAAAGTATTCTTTTGTGCTTACTATGTGTCAAACACTGTTCTAGTTGTGTTAGTTAAAAAACTTCAATCCTCAAAACATAGGTAGGCAGTCATGAAGTCATTCAAGGTCTGTAGTTGAAAGTTCTGTTGCTGAGACTTCTTATTTTAAAGTGAAAGCCTACCAAGAACATGCAATCCTCATCCTGAATTTAAAATTGAGGACACTAAGGCACAAGGAGACTAATTTGACCAAGGTACTGAGCCAATACATTGTTTTAAAGCGTGGTATTTTTTTCCTGTTTTTGTTCTTCAAAATAAAAACCAATTCACTGCTTTATGATCTTATCTTTTAAATAATATTGAATGTATCGATTAAGATAATTCTCTCTATGTAAGATTTTCTCTGCATTCAAGAAGCAAATTTTAATGTTGTATGCTGCTATTGACTTTTTTTTTCCATAATCAAGTTTGCCTAGAGGCTTCTTTCTACTTTAAGGACCTGAGAGAATATAACTGTTACTTTGCTTAAGTTGCAAAATAATAGATTCTGTTTTTTAATCTTTTGTTTTTCTTTATCAGAATAAGTATCCCTTCCACATGTTAATATTCTTCACTAAAAGTAGTTAAATAATGAGTCATTTGACTTCATATTTTAAGAATATGGTAAATTGCAGGCTTTCCAAGCACTAACATTTAAGAAAATCATATACCACATGTTTACACATTGAAAGCTGAGATTAGAATGAAGTAAATAAATAAAACACCAGGTGCAGGAAATGCAGAAGGAATTGAAAACAAGGACAAGAGCTCTTTAGGCAATGTTTGTGAAAACAGTTGATGATCGGAGGGGAGCAGGGGAGGGTGGGTTGTCGGCGTTTGTTACCACATTAACCTGTTAGCTTGGTCATGTGGTGTCAGGAGGTAAGGCCTTGACCTGTGAAATTCAGAGAGTTGGATCTGAGCAGCCTGAACAAAATATGGAGAAATTTAAAGAGCTGTTAATAAGTGAAAAATAGTGCAAATAAGCGATATAGGAAATTTGCTTGTTGGCCTCTCATAAGACCTGATGAAAAGCAAAAGAAAAAATCTATTCTAATTCATATCCATGCTCTATACTTTACAAACATATTGTTTTTTAAATGACCCTATGTGTAGTAGTTCCAAAACCTCCAAACTCAGGAAAAATCATAAAACTGAATCCTGGACCACTAGCCTTGAAGTGCCTGGCAGAATCAAACACAAAATTGCTCAGGGCACAGGATAACTACTGAAAAAGCCTCCTGGAGAACAGCTCAGAGTGGAAGTTTGTGGGGGAAAACAATACCGTAAGTGAGAAACAGAGAGAGTAGTAATCCTCAAATATTGCAGAATAAAAGAATGTGCTAAGGAATACAAAAGAAGTATACCAAAAAACATCAAAGTCATAGAATAATATATTTACATAATCAGGAGATAAAATGAGAAAATAAAAAAATATGAGTCAGTTTTTTTACATACTACTAAAACTCTTAGAAGCAAAAAATATAATTATTGAAATAATATATATACATTAAACTAGTTAAACATTAAGAAAGACAATGAATAAACTAGAAGACAAACTAAGGAAATTACCTGAAATGCACAAATATAAAAAGTTCAAAATTATGATGTAGAAATTAAGGAAAAAGGTGAATAAAGTGAGAAGCTAAAGATATGGGAATTTCGACTAAAATTCCAAAAAGGGATGCCATGGAAAATTAGAGACCAGTAATATTTAAAAAACTATTGGCAGCAAATTTCCAGAGTTCTTGATAACATATTCCAGATAAAGAAAAGACATCAAAATGAACACCAGAAAATACTTTGAAAGCAAGCATGAGAATATCTTAATTACATAACGTATTCCAGATAAAGAAAAGACATCAAAATGAACACCAGAAAATACTTTGAAAGCAAGCATGAGAATATCTTAATTACATCAATGTAGGGAAATATTCCTTAGTCAGGGAAACAAAGAAATTAGAGAAAGAATTTCTGCAAATTAATAAGAAAGGAAGGATGCAGCATCAGAAAAATGGGCAAAATAACTAAACATAGTTATTCTTACTAAGAGAGGGAAATGTAAATTAAGACACTTGGATACCATTTCACATCTATCATATTGACAAAAATTAACATCTAAGAACTCTTGGTGTTATTTGGTGACAATGTAAAGAAATGGGACCTTTTATAGCTTTGCTGACGAGTTGAATTGTTACACTTTGGAAATTAATTTAATTAATTAATTAATTAAAGAAAATTAATTAACTAAAGAAAAATTGATTATGCTCATATCCTTTGATTCAGCAAATCAACTTTGTGTATTTCCTGTGAACAAGGAAACAAATAAAATAATTATTGCAGCCTCCTTTTAAATAGAAAACCATAAAAATGATCTAACTTTCCTTTGGTATACAAATGGATAAAATTATTCATTTATATAATATAAAACTACAAAGTACTGCAAATAAATAAGTGATATGTGTATAACTAGGAAAACATTTATAATTCCAAGGTCAAATAAGAATACATACAGTGAGTAAGTATATATTGTTTCAAAACATGCATTTAAGAATGATATTATAATGAAATATAAATGTGTAATACAAGTTCTAACATAAAAATGTAAATGAATGTGTCAACCATGGGGTCTTTTTTACCTCCATGAAAATAAAAATGAGAAAAATGGCAGGGGAACTTTAGTTACATCTATCATTTTCATTTTCTTTTTAATAAAGTTTAAAAAATCAAATATATTAACATCTATTTAATCTTGATGGTGGATACATGTGTGCCTATTATCTTATTGCCGTTTCTTTCTCCCTCTATAATAGTTTTCATTGTTTTAAATAAAATAAAACTTTCTAGAAGAAAAATATCAAGGTTTACAGTTAGGAGCAAAACCGTAATTCAAAAATAGTTTTCAATTGTGAGTGGACTTTAATATAAACGATGTAAAGGAAATATTAACATAAAATCAGTAATATCCCTAAGCAAGGGTCAGCAACATTTCAATATAAGACTACATAGAATGTATCTGGAATCCTTAAATAACTTAATGCTAGGAAAATGACATATGGGGGAATTTCTGCTTTGCACAGGGAAGCACATACACACAAATATAATAAGAAATTTTAGTACAAGGATTATTTTACAAGATCATACAATTATTTGGTAGAAAGAATTCCATTGGTTAAAAAGTACAAAAGTGATTGTAGTATACACATAAGATTAAAGTGGCTAATGTGCTTTAAGTGGCATTATTGCTTAACTATTTTTCTTCCAAATCAACCCCACAAAGTGAATATGTCTGTAGACCCAGTTGGGTGAAATTCATAGCATAAAGCTTACTTTTGCAATGATGGGCTTCTGAGTAGTTTTCTCTGGAAGGGGTAATGGACACATGTAGGAGGGCTATGTAAAGTGACCAAGTCCCCTCTCTTCACCACCATAGAAGTTGAGAAGAAACATGCCCACTCTCATTCCCCATTCTGCCCTGCTTGTTGTTTTATCTAACTGGTCAGAATCTATGACTGCTTAATTTTGCCACATTTTACCAGTAAGTAGACTGTAGTAAAGGAGAAAGTTCAGACTTCCCCTCTCTCGCCTGGGGCCCACACTGCCTATATGCACGGCTATCCAGGGCATCTTTTCTTTCATCAGTTACTAAATAGGTTAGTTGGGGCCTGCTCTGAGGTTAGGCCATAGCTTACCTTTCCTCACAGGGAGGCTTGATTTGCTAGTGCCAAGATTTAGATTCAAGGTAGAAATATGAGACTGCACTAGAGTTCAAGGCAAAGCCACAAAACCACACATTCCAGTTCAGCTTTTGCCAGTGAGTCCTGCCTTACCTTGATTTTAGTGGACCCAAATTATCATAAAGTATACTTTAATTCCCATTCAGCCTATGTACAGGGCTCCTTTTGCGAACCCCAGGGGAAGAGGGATGATTAAACCAAAAATATTTTACATTCTTGTCAGGTAAATATTTTAACATCATTAAAATATTGCCAATATTTTCTGCTGACCCCATAGGAGTAAACTCCTATTCCCCACGCAGAAAAATATGAGTACTAAAGATTTTAACCTAGGAACCTAAAAGCTTCAAATAAAAATATCCTAGAGAAAAAAGTTTTTAGAAAAGTTTGCATGTTAACAACCAATTTACATACACCAAGTTATCTTTAATATTTCACAAAACAGTGTGTGTTCTTATCTGTATGTTTAAATTTTTTTGTTCATTGTGTTTATTTTTTCTTTCCCTGGGAAGTCCGACTAACTGGAGTAGGAATTATTTGCAAGTAGAGTATTTATCATTTGTATAGTTATACTTTCTTTAATTAGAATAACATGATCTGCGAATTGAATTCCCTTGGAAAACAAGGCTTATATTATTAGGAGATATATTTCCACCAGTGGTTTTACCATCTCTACTACTTTGAAAAAAATAGGAAGTTTTTCAAACCTCATAAACGGTACTGGGAAGTATTAGGGTTTATATATATGCACAACCTTTGGAGAGTTTATGAAACAGTAAATAAGACTTGTGTTTGTTTCTTTGTTTTTTTCTGTGGCAAGTAGCAAATTCAAAACCATTGAATATTTAAAGAAACTTACAGGTATAAAAAGGGTTGTGTAAATATTTTCTGTACAATTCTGGAGAGGAAAAGATGGCACGTTAACTGTGGCCCAGCAGAGCAGGCTGGGAGGGCCAGATTGTGGAATCTGCTCCAGGGCTGAGACACACACAGAGCACAGACACTGCAGCACGTGCCAGGAGGAAATCTGGCCAAGCAAGTCATAGATAGTAATACAGTTGCATACAAAATTTTGTATCAGAAAGGTCCAACACTGGACACTTAATCTAACAGGCCAGCAGAGAATAGCAATAAGGAATTCAGAAACAAATGATATTTGGAAGATTCGACCAGTAATCAGGAACTCAACATAAAGAAGTCTTCAGAAGTTGGAGGAAAAGGAACTAACCCATGTGGAGTATGTCAGGCGCTGGAGTGGAAAGTTCATATACACTGATCCCTTTATTCTTCAATAATTCTGAAATTGTTTTCATTTTGTGATAAAGGAAACTGTGGACCAGACAGATTAATTATAACTAGTAGTACCTGGTATTCAAACCCTGGCCTTATTCCAAATCTTTTCTATCTTCTACCCACTGCAAATTAAAAACATGTTATGTTTAATTAGCATATTAATTAATAAATCACCCCCAGGCTAGGCAATTTGGGATGAATAAACATGAATTGTTTCAAATGACACAAGTTTTAAAATGTTCAGGAGTCTCACTGTTATTCTGTCCTTATTAATTTATATTCTTTATAACTACAAAGGTGATATTAAACATTTGTCATTGGGCCACAGGAAAATGATGTATTACAAAGTGTCTAGGCAATGTCTGAAATCTGCACAGTGCTTTTTTGGCATTCAGAAATATTCTGTTCCTATGTGATTAAAGTCTCAATTAAAGTTGTTGATAGATGTTATTTATTTTTTTAAGTTTCTTTTATATGAAGGAAACAGTGCTATATGTTCACCAAAACTCCTTTAATATTCCACCTTGTATACATGGAAAACCATACTTCCCAGCTCCCTTGCAATTAGGTGGGCCATGTAACAAATTTAGGCCAATAAATGTGAGTAACTTGTGTCACTTTTGAACTAAGGGCAAAGGATGGGAGGGGATTAGGGATGGGGATATTGGTGAAAGGAGGCTGGTCCAGGGTGGAACTTGACAAGAGGAAATTAGAATTTGAGTCCTGGAAAAACTGAGATCTTAATAAATAATCCCAAAACTTAGTCACTTAACAGGAAACAAAGAAGTTGAATTTTCAGAGCACAGATAAATGGGTCTGATTTGGAGAGGCAATGAAGATGTCTTAGTGTTGAGTGCAGAGTGTTATTGTAGAGTTGCTTATGTATTTTCTACCTAACATTGAGGTGTTCTAGATTCTGGGTAGATGATAAATATGCAAGTATATGTGTGCAGATGTGTAGGAGAGGTGCAAATAGCTCTAGATCTGAGGATAAGAAAAGTGTGAAGTATCAAAAACTAGCTGGGATTAAAGAAATGTTTAGGGTAAAAATATACTTTTTGAATACTACATCTATATTCTGAATTAAAACAATATGAAAGAGGTTATTTGCATAACATGGTAGACTGATCGATTAGGTTGATAAACTGGATTATTTAAAAGAATGAGGCACATGTGCACATATGTTGTGCAGATGAAGATAGTCCTGTGAGAAAAATGTGTAAGAATAAATAAAGCAATCAATCTGCTAATGGTATGTTTTCCCTTGTTACCAAAATTTGGAAACTTTTAGTAATTTTCTGTAAAGACGCATACATAAATCTGGTCTCTGGATAATCCTCAAACACTTTGACCATAGAAAAATAGGTCCTGTGGAATAAAACAAGAAATTCAAGTCAAGGCTTTTGTTTCACTTTTTAGTTCCCAATCCCAGTAACTTCAAGACATTAGTCCTATCTATTATGAATATCTCAAGGTTATTTTCCTCACTTGGACACTCACTGAAGCAATAAATCAGTGACTAATTATACTTCACATTCTTCATGTTAAGTGTGGCTTGTGATGATTTACATTATTTAGAACTATAAAAGTGAAATTAAACTATTGCCATAAATGATTACAGTAAAGGGCATAGAAAGAAATGGCAATATTTTAATGAAAAGGGTAGCTTCTGCTTGGAGGCACTATCCCTGCTCTGTGGCTTTCCTGGTGTTCCTAACGTGTTACCTTTAGGGTCAGAGCAATTACTGCAATTCTCTGTGGAATCAATATTTTGCCATGTTTTATCATCTCAATTTAGATGCATTTTAAATGGTGCAATGTCATCATCATTGCCATGACAGAAGATAAGCCTTCAGGTGAAACATAGCATTATCCCACAAGATAATTTTTTTATAACATTTTCAGACTGAATTTTGTCATGTGTACTTTGCAATGTCACCCTAAGTTTCAGGAAGGCACAACATTTAAAACAAATTAGAAAAGAATGTCTCATTTTTTTTCTTGACAAGAAATATATTTCAAACTAACAAGTTTATTAAACTGATAAAAACATAATTATCCTCAAATAGGATGATATGTTTTTCATATCTTTTATACCTGCAGTGACCATAAAATGAGTCATTTTTTATTTATTTTGCCTCGGATAAAGTCATATCACACTAAGTTTTTCTATAGGCTAGTATTCTATAAACTGTACAAAAGGAAGAAAAAACAATAAAAACTGGTAGAAGAAAAGTCCGAGTTATATGGAGTTCCTCAGAATTCACATCTGTAATCTTTAATTGATGAAAATCACAAGAATCTGAGTCATATTGTCTTGACCTGAAAGGCAAAAGATGACCTTGTGACTTTTTATCAAATAATAAAAACAACAGATCAACAGTGCTGTGGGATTTAAAGGGAATGACTTGAAAGCCTTCACTCTCTCTCCACCCTAAGTTACCCATCATGGAGCTGTTTGCCTGAAGGACTAATGAGTCTTCTGGGAAAAATGTCTCTAACAGAAAACATCTTTAAGATGCATTTGCTTCACAAATAATGTGTCAAAATGCAGGAAGGGGACAATTGAGCAATCAGTGCCTGTCTCTTATGTTGTCTTAACCTGTCTGCTCTTCCTTTCAAGATAATCTCTAAATGTAAGGGAAAGACTACAGTGAATTTCAGGTCAAACATGTGACATGTGGCAGAACTCCTCTGAAATCTATGTGCTGGATTGTAGCACAAAGATGAGAGGAAGGCTAAAGGCAGATTTGGCCCTTAAAGAGTCCAACGGACTGCACTGGAGCATAAACCAGACAGAATAGCCTGGACAAGAACTAGAAAGTCACCAGCACCCCAGAGCCTCTCCATGGCCCATCTAGCACTATTCACCTCTACCCACAATGGTAACCACTATTCTAACTTGTAACATAGGGCTATGTATCTATATGGTCTGCCTAAAATTCTAGGATAATAATGATTATTTAGAGTTATTTAAGAGAGACAAGGCATCTTTCAATGGAGAAGCTGAGAAATGTCTTCTACCTTTCCTATGTCCTGTTTTAGAATAGGTAACTAGATTTTCACCTTTCAAAACTGATTTAAATGCTGAAAAAAATAAATCTGGACATCTGACAGCAAATCAGACCCAAGCAATTATGATAAATCCTTAGTAATTTATTTTTGGAATTATCTCTACATGGGCTTCTGAAATCTACAGATTCAAAGGACATTGATAGAACAAAAAAAAGGCATGTGAACAGAATAATGAATACATGTAGGGGGAAAAGAAAACTGAGATAGGAAAAGTGAAAGAGAAATAACGTTAACCTCATATTTTTTCTTTTTCTGTTTTTAAATTTATATCAAGTGGCTTGTAACATCCCCGAAGCTTTAACACTCATTTGGGGTTTTAAAAATAATTGCTTATTTTCTTTAATTTTATTTTATATATTCTTACTTGACTCTTCAGCCTTTATATTACTCTGCCAAAAAATCTCGTAAGTTTAAAAACAAGGAATAAAACCCACAAGACTCATGATAAGCACCATGAGCATATAAAATCTACAATGGAAATGTACTTTCTCTATAAAGTTTTAAAGCAAATATTTCAGAAAATGTATTAGGAAAAGACTTTGCAATTTTATCATACAGGAATAACCAAATAACAGAAGTCATCAGATTAAAATTACTTCACCTTCCCATCAGCAAATCTAATAACACACTCATGTGTTTCCATAAAATTTGCCTTCCCTCCTATCACAATATATTGTGCAGGGAATCAGTTCCATTTGCATCACAAGGATTTTGCTGCCAAAATTATTCCCTCTCATCTCCACCATACACTTTTCCCGCTCTACTGGAATGCTTTTTTTTTCAACTCACAGACACATCTTGTAATTTCTCAACTTAAAAACAAACCAAAGCAACAAACAAACCACAGCTTCCCTTGATCCCACATTTTCTAGCTCCATTGATCTGTTCAACTCTGTAGCAACCCCACAAAGTGTGGCTGGACTTGTGCTATTTCTTGTCCTTTCTTCCATTCTGTCCTCAACACATGCTGACCATCTTCACTCTCCATAACTCTTCTGAAAGAATCATCAACAATGACCTTCCTCTGGCCACACACATGGTCAGTTCTCTCTCAGGTTTCAGCTTTCTCTCTGAACAGTATTGGACACCATTGATAATCCTCTCTTTGAATTATTCTCTTCCCTTGACTCTTAGGGTACCATATACTCCTCTTTTTTTTCTGCACCAGTGATGGCTCATTGACGTAGTCGGCCCTGGAGGCTATAACAAAATACCATAGACTGGATGGCTTAAACAAAAGACATTTATTTTTCACAATTCTGCAGGCTGGGGAGTCCAGCATCAAGGTGCGGCCAGATTTGGTGTCTGGGGAGGGCCTGCTTTCTGGCGTACAGAGGCTGCCTTCTCGCTGTACCTTCACATGGTAGAGAGAGAGAGAGAGTTCTGGTCTCATTCTTTTCTTATAAGGACCTATCCCATCATGGGGACCCCACTTTCATGACCTCATCTATATCTTGTGACCTACCAAAGGCCCCACCTCCAAATACCATCACTTACTTTCTTTCCATTCTTAGAATATAATAGGCTTTTCCCAACTCCCAGACATTTACAAATTCTCTGTCCCCTTCCTTTCCTATAATCTTCTCAAGGCCTTTCCTTGTGGCACATTCCTGTTGGGATAAAATGACACTTTGTCAAATGGCCTATCTCTGACCACTTTAAAATATGTACTATCCATCTGTCACTACCAGTCATTATACTATACTCCATTTTTTGTGTTTATGTGTCTTTCTACCCCAGTATCAGGTAAGCTTCTTAAGGGGAAAGGCTTTGTTTATTCCACAGTACCCTTATACCCTAGAATAATATCTGTAAATATTTGCTGAATGAGTTAATGTGTGCACTCACTGCCTTGTACCACAGAAATGTCTCACATAACGCTGGTGGCTCAGAAACAACTGTTAACCATTAATATTTAAATGTGTCCCATCATGAACATTTTTATAGTTTGAATGTGTCCCCCAAAGGTCATGTGTTAAAAGCTTAATTCCCAATGCAACAGTGTTGAGAGGTGGAACATTCAAGAGGTGAATAGGTCATGAAAATTCTGCTTTCATGAATGAATTAATGCCATGATTGCAGGAGTGGTTTAGTTATCTTGGAAGTAGTTTCTTGATGAAAGAATGAGTTCAGTCTTCTCCCTCTCTAGAGTGTGCTCTTTTGCCCTTCTGCCTTTTTCTTTGGGGTGATGCAGCATGAAGGCCCTAACAAGATGCCAGTACTATGCTCTTCGACTTCCCAGCTTCCACAACTGTGATACATAAATCCCTGCTCTTTATAAATTACTCATTCTGTTGTATTCTGTTATAACAACATGAAACAGACTAAGGCAAATGTCTACACCATTGAGTTTATACAAAGAACAGAAACAAGCTTTTCAAGGACCCAATAATGTGTTTGGCTTTGCTTTTACTTGTCCCTTAGAAATTTTAGACTTGAAGAAATTGAAAGAGATCAAAAACTTATTACCCATTTGTCTCCATTAGGATTTTTGAGGTATCAAGTTAATATTTCTTAAACTCGCAACATGTAAACATTTTTGAAAAAGAAATGGAACATTTTGAAATCACATTTGAAGGCTTTCATTTCTGGCATATCTAGATGGGTCTCAGAGTGCTGAGAATCCTGTTATTTCTTCACTCAGTGCACATTCTACCTCCCACTAGGCCTAGCGTTACTAAGATTCTTTTTGATTAGAAGTTTCCTTTTATTCTGGTAAGATGAATGTTTAAGCATACATCAAAGTACACTTGATCAGCTGAAGATATTTTTTACAAAAATAGTTAGTGCAACACCTTTATCTTAATGAGTAAGACAAGATTTCAAAACAAGCATGCTGCTTTAAAATCCTTCACTTTATTGCTAATTTTCTGGGGGTGAACCAAGGTCATCTTTACATTGGATAACAAAATTTAGATTTCCTTAATATAAGTAAAATAAATCTAGACAATAATTAGGTAACTCCAAGGGCAGTTTAACTATTTCCCTAATGTCCTCTAATTAAAAAAATGTACATTTCTAAAGGGTATTAGAGAGTATAATTACAAATCAGAATTACTTGTGGTTGATATGCATCATAATTTGGGTTTAGGAGATTCAGTCTTTTTTTTAAATTATTTTTTATTTTTTTTTGAGATGGAGTTTCGCTCTTGCTGCCCAGGCTGGAGTGCAATGGTGCGATCTCGGCTCACTGCAACTTCCGACTCCCGGGTTCAAGCGATTCTCCTGCCTCAGCCTCCCAAGTAGCTGGATTACATACAGGCAGGCATCACCAGGCCCAGCTAAATTTTGTATTTTTAGTAGAGATGGGGTTTCATCATGGCCAGGCTGGACTTGAACTCCTGACCTCAGGTGATCTGCCCGCCTCGGCCTCCCAGAGTGCTGGGATTACAGGCGTGAGCTACCGCGCCCAGCCAGGAGATTCAATTATTAATCTAGTCAATTAAAAATGTACTGAACAACAAATATAAGCCAGACCCAATGTTAGGCACTGAGAATAGCCAGGACGAATTAGATAGGGTTCTTGCTCTTCAAAATCTCAGAAGCTGCTCAGGGAGATAGCCATATAATAAGTCACTGTAATCCAATATAATAATAATGATTACGAGAACAATACTAATGATACTATCATACTAATTTTTCTGGATTATTTTTTCCAGAGTTTGCAGGGACAGTTAGAGTCAATATGAATTCTCAGAATAAGCACTGCCAGATAGTCCGGAAGCCCTTTACAAGGAAAGTGACATTTTTGCTGTGTTTTGAATAGTGAACAAGAATGTGCAGGAAGAGAATGAAAGGATATCACTAGCAGAAGAAATGCCTCTTTGTAAAACCATAGAAAATAACTCTGAGTTGCCATATAGGACATATGAGAATTTCAGTGTTACTGAAACAAAAGCTTTTGGAAAAGGTATGGTGATTAAATTGGGTATACAATCTGAAAGGTAAATTGAGGACAACTTGTGTGCCAGTTTGCATACCTACTATACTGTAAAGCAGTGTTTGATTTTATAATGAAGACAATGGCAAAAAAAAAAAAAATCTTTTAGTCGGAAAACCCTAATTGGACAATTTTAGGAAGATAGATCTGATGATGGTGAGAATGTATATACGGTTTTTTTTCTATTTAAATAAATATGGTGCTGACAAGCACATTAACCAGGATGTTGTAGTTGAAAGACATTAAGAACCTGAACTAGAAAGGGTAGTGAGAATGGATCAAAATAAATGCTTAAATTTGGGAGATGTTTCTGATATACTTAAATGAATTTGGTGTCTTATTGGAAGAGTAGATTTTAAGAGAAAAAAGTTAACAATTATAAGATTTTCGGCTTAGAAATATGAATGGAGTTATACTCAACCAAAAAGACTAGTAATCTCAGGTGGGCGAATACCTTTGAGAAGGAGGATGATTATTTATTTTTGGGATATATGGAGTTTAAAGTATCTGGGGTATTTCTAGTGTTCATCTCTTGTCACCACATATTCTCCTATTGAAAGTGCCACACAGTATGGCAAAAGGATAGAAAGACCTCAGCTAATACAATCACACTTTTAATAGATTATAGAATAGTTCTGGCCTTAGGAGCTTTGAATTTAAACATTGCATAAGTAATAAGCATTATTATTACTCAGAACAACTTGGAGGAACTCAAATTTTTATGTATGTATGGCATTTCTTAAAATGCATTTAGACTTTTTGAGCATTTAAAACTTCTCTGATTCAAGAATTTTATATAATTGGCTGTATCTAATGAAGCCACATTGCTTGGTTATTAAGAGTGCACGTGTACCCTAAAACTTAAAGTATAATAATAATAATAATAATAAAAGAAAAAAAAAAGAGTCTAGTCTCTTGGTTCAGACAAAATTGAGGTTTTAATCTTAATTCAACCAATACCTAACTATGTAATTTTGGACAAGATCCTTAATAGGAATAATAGTTACAACTAGCCATGTAATTAGGAATAAATGATCTGGTTTAAAGGACTTTAAATAAAAAATTTTATTTAAAGAACAATGGCTTACACATGAAAAATCTTAAATCAGTTTATTTATAACACTTAATAGAAAGAGGGTAAAATTAGTGTTATTTTCCATTTCTCCAATTTTTACCTTTCCTGTCTCACAAATATTTCTTTGTTGGGGGACATAATAGAGACCCTAATTAATTTGAAAATTACACCTTAAGAAATTTCTAGTCGGGTAAAGAAAATCTCCAAATAAGAAAGGGTCCCAAGTGTATATGGGAATAACCTATACTATTTAGTATCTTCCCCATTAACATTCCTTTGGGAATGACCTTTACTCCAGAACCAGATGGTTCTGGTAGGCTGCTAATCCAGGAACACCCCCTCTCCTTGTAGATAGGCCAGGAGCCAATTCGGAATCTCTTTCAGATACACATAGGGATGAAAGTGGTGGGAATTGAGCTGTTTGCTGCTTCATCCTGGAGAGATGCCACCAGATTTTCTGCTGCTGTGATAGATGTCAAGCTGCCCTGATTTCTGTCATCCTTGAGATCTTACCCTACAATAATAATTTTTATTTTCTGAGCTATGCAATTCTTAAAATAAACCCCCATTTACTTTTCTTTCCTCCCTTTTATTAAGTTAGCTGAAATTAGAACTTGTTGATAATCAAATATCCTAAGTAATACAAAAATTAATACCTCACAGGAGCTATAGGAAAAAAGACCATCAGGAAATATGAGGTATTTTAATTTGTTATCAAGTTATCAAGCTCAGATTGGGTAAATGGAATTGAGTTCTCCGTTTATATTCCGGACAAGACAGAATTAGTCCATGCCTCTCAGCGTTAGTCTGTGTTTATCAAGTTACTCCATGTGGCCTCATAGTGTAATGTTCCTTTTGATATTGTTTTGGAAAACTAAGCAACCTCCAAGGTAGATCAATATAAAAAAAGAGAAGAAATGCTTTTCGAAGATTGTTTTTAAAGCAATCTATACTTAAATATAAAAAAACAAACAAAATAAAATTTGAAATTTTCATCACTTAGGAGTTTTATGAGACCACAATGAAAGAACATTGCAACTGCTGTTGCTGAAAATGGTATGTAGAGACTGATTGTAGGAGTTGCTGAATTTGATTGATAGTTGCCTTCAAGGTGAAAGCTTTAAAATGGTCATATTGTTTTTAGGAAGATTAAAAGTATTTGCAGAATTCCAAATTCCCAAATCCCTTAAAAATTATTTGCATTGTGTCCTATCTGACTGGTGATAATGTGGTCCTCCTATAGAGAAAAGTTACCTCTTCTCCTCCTACCATGCTCCTCATATTATTATTTACAAGATAACATGCATTTAAACTTGAGAAAATCTAGAATTTGTAAAGCAGATCAGAAAAGTTAAAGAGTTTTATTCAGAAGGATTTGAAGATGGTTTAAGACACAGATTCTGGTTTATCGCTGACCTTTGAGGGTGATAGCTTGCCTATCTCTGGCCTAGCAGGTGCCCCTACGATTTAAGATGGCAACAGGGACCCAGCCTTATCTCACTCATCTGGCTTTAAAGTGGGAACGCTAGACCATTTGTGCTATCATTAAACTTGGCACATGGGAGGGCTGAGCCAGCTCAGAAGCAACACACAAGGTGCATTAGTTACTATTTCTCAAGTGCCTTGCATGCCTACTACTTCCTCACCACCAACTGAAACCAAAGGAGTGCCTCAGATCAATTAAATAAGGAATAGAAAACCTCTCGCCCACATTACAGATGGCTCTGCAAATGTGCAGACAACAGCAATAAGGGCAACTGAAACATTATAGCCTCATTAGTAGGAAGTCTCTAAGGACAAAAGGAAAATTCTCTGATTAGGCAAAAACTTCAATCATTACTTTTTCTTTTTTACTTTGCTTAGAAAGAGTGATGGCCTGGGGTCAGGATCTACAATAATTCATGAGTTATGACTAATAGACTAGAAAATTAGGTTCTTGGAAGGCTTCAGACTGAAAGATTGGACAAGAAGTTTGGTCTTTCATTTTCATTTCCACTACATGTGATTTTGGGGAATAATTTTAACACCGAATCTTCTGTAAGTCAGTAATACTTCCTAAAGATACTGAATTTAGATCAAAGAAGCCTCATGACATATACCTCTGTAGGCTTTAACTAGACATTATTTTAGATTGCCTCTCTTTGACATGTCGTGAATTTGTTTGCAATTATAATTGGGTCAGTTTTGTAGACAGGGCATTTTTGGAAGTGAATATAAAGAATACGGAGAAAGGTGTTATTGTATGTGTGTGTGTGTGTGTGTTTAGTATAGCAATACAACAATATGAAATAAATAATAAAAATAAATAGTGTGAGTGTAGATTACTCATCCAGGCTCAATTTTCTTGAGATATCTTCTGTTCAAATTGATTTTGGTAAAGCTGTCAATCATAGAATTCTGAATGCAGTGTATAGAGTTGGAAGATGACTCAGTATAGACTAATTTATTTCTCAGGCTTTTGACTTCAGTAGAAATACTAAGGAATGGAGTACCTTTAGTCATGAGTTAAAAAAAAAGGTAGGTTTTTATAAAGAATGTTAAAGATTGTTATATGGTTGTAATTCCTGGAATTGTATGTTTCCTACCTTTCTGAGACCTTCTTTTATGTTTTTTTTTTTAAGTCTCTTTTTGACGAGTTGTAGTAAGCACCCTTTTCCTGCTCTAAATTAGTGAAAATAGTTAAATCTACAAAGAATCTATCAGGATCCTTATAAAAGCAGCTTGGATGTTTTGTCATGAATGTAAATAAAAACATGCATATTTCAAAATACATAAATATTTTATTATATTGTGACTATGAGAAAGTTGTTAATTATTTTCAGTTATGGATAATATAATATTCAGCTGTATTTAAATATTGAATCCATATTAAATTTAACAATGTGTGTCAGAGAGAGCATATCCATCGAGTTTCCTTTGCCTTTTTATAATGATGGGGCATTAAAGGTATGGAGAGGATAGCCAGGATCTTTCATATATAATGTCTGTGAAGGAAGAAATTTAATTACTAACCTTATTCTTCATGTTTACCTCATAGTTAAAACATCTATGTCCATTCAGTGTAACTTAAACTGGGATTATGGGAGAGAGTTTTATGGAAAAATATTTTATGAAATTTATCCAGTATTTTCACTATCCCTTCTATCAGGAGAGGGTATGATCCAACTTCCCCAGCTATTCGTGGATACACAAAACTAATTTAGCTAGAAGTGAGAAGTTCTGAGTTTAGAATGATCTGTGGGGGCAGAGTGAATCACTTATCCCTAAAATAGCTATCTAAAATGGACCCTAGTTCTGAAAAACAATAAAATAAAATAAAATCATACCCCTAGCTTAACCTAGCATAAAAGTCAATTCATTCAAAAAGTTCCCTGGCAATTATTTACTGAACTACATAGAAAAGGACCTGCCATCAATGATGTTCCCCTAGCAGCCAATCCACTTGCCTGTTACAATGGTGATATGAAGAATGTGTACTGGGAAAAAATCAATGTAAACTGTTTACATGTAGTGTTCATTCAGTCCTTTTTATTCATCCTGAAAAATCCTTTCAACTGGAAAAATTAAAACATATTAAAGCCAATATATATAAAGAACGACATTAAATTGTTTTTGATCTACATTTTAAGAAATCAAATATGCTTTGGAACTGCCATATTTGAAAATACTTTTTTTGTTAGACACAGTCTCACTCTATTGCTCAGGCTGAGGTGCAGTGGCACTGGCACTATCATAGCTCACTGTAGCCTTGACATCCCTGGGCTCAGGTGATGCTTCCTCCTCAGCCTCCTGAATGGCTGGGACTACAAGTAGAAGCCACCATCCCCTGCTAATTTTTGTATTTTTAGTAGAGACAGGGTTTCAACATGTTGGCCAGGCTGGTCTCAAACTCCTGGGTTCAAGTGATCCACCCGTCACGGCCTCCCAGAGTGCTATGATTACAGCTGTGAGCCACTGAGCCTTGCCCTCTTAAAATATTTTTTATCAAAATTATTTCTGGGAATTCAAAACTTGAATATATTATAATGTACAAAATAATTTGTTTGACAGAGTACAAAATTGATAATCATATAACAAAATCCCAACATTAAGTATTCACATTTTTATAGTTGCCCTAGATAAAAAGTGTTACATAGCAACAATTTTAATGATAATAGAATTAGAGTATCTGTTTCCTGTGTCAAAAGATGACCTATAAAAACAGCAAAAAAAAAAAAAAAAAGGCTGGGCACTGTGTCTCACACCTGTAATCCCAGCATTTTGGGAGGCCAAGGTGGGCAGATCACGAGGTAAGGAGATTGAGACTATCCTGGCCAACATGGTGAAACCCTGTCTGTATTAAAAATACAAAAATTAGCTGGGGATGGTGGTGCATGCCTGTAATCCCAGCTACTCAGGAGGCTGAGGCAGAAGAATCGCTTGAACCAGGGAGTCAGAAGTTGCAGTGAGCCGAGACTGCACCACTGCACTCCAGCCTGGGCAACAGAGTGAGACTCCGTCTTAAAAAAAAAAAAAAAAGAAATAAATTAAAAGAAAAAAATTCTGTATCTCTATAGGGACGGTAATGATAATATGTATGATTAATGACTATCAAATACTAGAGAAAATCTGTCTTGGAGTATTCTAATCATATTTCTCCATAAGTGCAGTGGCTTCATAAATCGACTAAAGGTATATAAAACATTTTGGGAATTTTGTTCTTTAACTGATAACAGAAGTTTTAACAATTTTAGTATAATAGTGTTTTATTATTTTCTTTACAACCAACCTTCTATAGCACTCTCTTTGCATGCACACCATCTTAATAAATGTATCTTATTACACAAAATTTCCTATTTACCATTCTTCATATTCTTGAAACCTTTGACCAGTGCCCAAAATATAACGTGTTTCATAATTTATTCTGTCCTGTGCTTCTACCAGTATACTCTTTCAGGGCTTTCTTTTTTCCTATCTTTGCTCCCAAATATGTCCACTGTGAATTCTGAAACTCTCATTCCTGATTAAACTTTATTACAGACTCATCCTTTTTGTTTAATCTTGTGGTCTGGTGGATATAATTTCTCTGTAGAATATTCAAAAGGAAGTTATTCTCCTACACTGCACTAGCATGTAAGTATCAAGCGGGATTGGTATAGCTTTAGATTTCCATTGCCTTTTCTGCACCACTGCTGCTAATTTCTCATGTAAAACCCAGTCCAGTGCTCTTTGAGGCTTATGCCAGTTGGCTATGTAGTCAGTGACCCTTCCTCAGACTTTAGCAATGGTTCTTGACCTTTTATTCTCTCTCATTGACAACTTTGTTGCCTAGCTTTTTCTTGTCTTATTCTCCATTCAAATGTTTACCATCATTCTGCCTGATTAAATGTCCATGTAAAAGCCCACACATAACACACTGGGTTCCCGGTTCCTTGACCCAGATATTCCTGATGACTAATTTGCTCCTAAGTTTCTCCACCTGCAGCAGCCGTCTCCATGGCCATATTTTGAACTTGGTCATTACTCAAACTACTTTAAGTCTTAAGTAATTTTTTAAATAAACATTTTGCTTGATTAAAGAAAAAACTGCTAATCTTTTATCTCTTTCCTACCTGATGTTGGTCAGACCAGCATTGTGTTACATGGATAAGGAAGGGAATGTCACATTATGAACAGTGGTGTGCTACCAGTGCCTGAAATTTGTGAGTCTCTGAGATGGCTTCCATATAGAATGGTCAATGCCTTAATGCAGTCAGACTCATTGTGTAAGTAGAGGAACAATGGGTTAACTTGCTAATGACCCCAGCATGCCATCCTATTGGTTCATCTACTTTTCTTTTTAATCACAAAGGGAGCCAGTTATGATTTGGGAGTCATCTCTATCTTCCAGATAACCTGCACCCTCTCCTAATAATCCCACTATAATTTTGCACTAAGTGGTCAATTAAATTGATCAAAATAGTAGAGGGAAATTTTCTCCAGACCCAGCCATAAATTTGTTCCATCCTCACTTTTCTTTATCCAGGACATGTAATGCCTTAGATGTACTATAGCATCTTGAACCCATCCATCCAATCCCAGGAGAAGTTTGAAGGGTTAAGTTTTTGTCCTTCTTGGATAAGATCAACCAGTGGTACATGCATCATATATATATAATTTGTATATGTGTCTTCATTCTCATTGCTATGAGTATAATAAAGACCATTGTTTTCATTAAGGTTATTACAACATATCCTTAACTTATTTATATACCTATAGATTTATCATATGACTTCTAGGCCCACTTGCCTTCTTGGAGCAGCCATTTATCATTACTAAATCTCTATAATATTACTGTGTAATGCTGATATAAACCTTCTAGTATTTGTGCCCTGCTCAACTTTTCCTCTGTAATGTTCCCTCTCATGTCCTCAACCAATTCTCTATGTGTGCACCTATGTATTAGAAAGTAACCTTATCCTAGCGTGCATCTCACTATTTGATAATTTTTGTTCAATTGCCTGTATCTTTCTTGTGATTTTTGAATTTCCAAGATAAAGGGGCACATATATCCTGTTCCTTGCTGTGTCATCATAGCTAAACTACCTATTGTAACAAATATTTGTTTAAAGAATTCATAAGTTATTGGGTAAGTAAAAGCTGTGAATTTTAAGGTTGAACATTTCTATATAAATCCTTCTGTTTTTTAGTAGCCTGATAAGCAGCCATAACCCTTGCTCCAATCATCAGTAAGATACATAAATGCCAAAATATACATAAGGAAAGGAGAAATATGTGAATACAAACTGCAAGATGGGCTGATTCATCTATCAAATTTAGTGTCAGTATGGAAATAATAAGTGAAGTTCTAATTGGGGATAAATAGATGCTACTGCCAGGAAAAGTCAATGTTATTTGAAATTCACTGTGCGTGGGCATAATAAGGAATTATTAGCTGATATTTTGTAGCATTAGACCTCATGACAATTTAAATTTGTGCTACTTTAGGTGATTCATGAAAGGCAAAGAATTTCTAGAACCACCTACAGTCTAAATATTACACATAAATAATTAATAGACATTCAATTGCTGTTCTGAAAGAACCATCATAAAATTTTGTTTAAACAACCAGCTGTTTAACCAATAACGAAGTTGTTCCCCTGTGCCCACTATCCCTCCCTTCCTCCACCCTTTCTGGATCTTGCTCTGTCACTACAACTTGTCCTACATGCTCAGCATCTTAATATCTAATGGTTCTTTAAAAATTACTGTTTAATTATTATGAATACATACTAATTGTACATATTTGTGGGATACACATGATCTCTTCATACAAGCATACAATGTGTAATGATCAAATCAGGATAGTTGAGATACTCCTCATCTCAAGCATTTATCATTTCTTTGTGTTAGGAATATTCCAATTCCATTCTTGTAGTTATTTTACCTGAACCTTATAAATATCCTCCACATTCTGTCTCATGTGAATTAGAATCTTTCTTTCTGCTCCTACCCTCAGCTCCAACTCCTGGCCTATCTCTCGTCTGTTGCCTGCTAAGCTTCTGGGGAAGAAAAATAATCCACATTTTCACATGCACTCTCTGGTCTCTAGGGGAAATTTAAACCATTCATAATTTATTTCTGTTCTTTGACTCTTCTGCTTTGCCATGTATTTTACCACTTTCTCTTAGCTTTTCTTTGGCATTTCTAACAATTCTGTTTCCATCCGCCTGTGAGATCTTCTTCCTTCAGCTCTTATTTAAATATTGGTGTTTTCAGGCTCCTATCTTTTGTTCCCTGATGGTTTCTACATTTCTCCACATTTCTCAGGGATTTAACAAGCATCCATATGCAATGGACAGCAAAATCATTATCTCTTCTTCTGACTTTTCGCTTGAACTTCAGACTTGTATAATAAACTTATTCAAATACATGTACACATATATTTGGTAGCTTCCTGACAAGTTTATTGTATGAACTAAACTCTGCAGGAAACAATCAGAAAAAGGCTCTATTTTCCCCCTTTTCTTACCAAACACACTCTCTAAACTCATTCTTTCCTCTTCACTTGCATCTGGACTATCAATTCTTTGAGTCCTTTCTAGGACAAAGGGAAGTCTCAATTTCAGTTATTTAACATTTATATCCTATTCAAATGTCCTCTTGATCTGTCTGGGAGCTCTTTTCCTTCTACATCTCAGGCCTGTAATGGCCAAGTGTGATGCAGTGAAACCCCTTCCGCTCTTCATTTCTCTAACTCAGTGATTATCAGATGTTAGCATGAGTCAGATCCACCTGGAGGAATTTTTAAGCAGGTTGCTTTGCCTCTCCCTTAGCATTTCTGTTTCAGTAGAGTCTTATGGGGCCTGAGGATTTGATTTCTGCCAAGTTCTTTGGTGCTTCTCCTGCTCCAGGACTATATTTATGAAATCACTTCTCTAATCCTACCTTCCCTTGCTGGCTTTTATTGGGTTGCTGGGGATAGAAGAAAGATAAGAGATATTAAAGACCTAACTAGATTATTAAACTTGGAATTTGGTGTCAACATATGCAGGATGGTAGAGAAACAATTTTTGGTTCTTTCTCTTTTGGGGTTTCTGTGAGTGCCTCGGAGATCCTCCAGATGGGACTTGTACCTGTAATTCCCTTTGCATTCATCTACTCCCATTTTGACCACCTCTGTCAGCCATTGGTCTGCAGGTAATCACCTCTCTGATGGAAACCCTTTATCCCTTTTAGGGCTATTGTTAAGATGACCCTAGGCCAACTAAGTTCAGAATTCTCATGAGGTCCCAAACACATGGTATTTGCCCTGCCTTCAGGAAAAATAAGGTTTTCTCCATCATAGGCTTATCTTTCTTTTCCTTTTTTTATTTTGACATTTCAGATATATATAATTCAAGTGTTTTATCGTTTTGACTTATTCTGTGGGAGAAAATGCTAGAACCCAAATCCCTTGAGCTTCAGAAAATTCGTATTAGGCACTCCAAACAATTTCCGTGAAGCCCCACTCACCTGACTTGAAGTAGTAAAGAAACATTACATTCTCTTCATCCTTCTCCATCAGATGGAGGAGCAAATGTCACAGAATTCTAACCATGATTCACTTTCAAAAAATATTTTCAAAAAATTATCTCCTCAAATTCTCATTTCCTGTTCTATACAATACCCAACTCCCCTTTACAACAATAAGAACAAAGGGGAGAAATGGGCTAATCCTGGCAACATCTTATTACAATCTCTTAATACATCTTACAAAAGTCTCTAGAACCTTGTTTTAGGATGTGGAGTGCATGGAAACAATTGTTCTTGGCCTGTGAGTCTTTTCAAAAATTCTGAAACAGAAATAGCCCATTTTGACATCCTGTCACACCGTCCATGTGCCAGAAAATGTGCTAGATTCCAATAAAAAGGTACACAAAATAGCCCTTGATTTTGAGGGCTTTGAGTTTAGCAGGTTTAAATCAATCTACATAAAGTAAAATGTTATAGGTGCTCTGATAGAAATTTAGGGAACATCTGTACATAAAGAGAATAGTGGGCCATTTCCTGGGACATTATATCCTGCTGGAGCTCTGCTAGACACTTTCAGCCAGAAGGCTAAAACTGAATCCACTTTTTTTTCCTTCAGACCTGCTGGTCCTCCTGGGTTATTTGCCTGTGACAAATGCCCCACCTCACACTCAGTCACTTAAGGCAAAACCCATTCTATGTAACTTTCATTCTTTAGCCATCTGTAAGTAATCAATGTGTCTTTAAAGACAACAGAAGATATTTAATCTATCCTCCTTCTACTCCCTCATTGTCACCATTTATCTTTGTCATGCTCAAAGAGATTATCTCAGTTGGTTATGAAATTTGAGTAAATATTTCTAAATCTTGTGCCCCGAGTTCCAATTATTTTTTGGTTAGAGCCAGAATAAACTGTTTAAATCCCATATATAATCATTCCATTGACTCTTCATCACTTCTATAAAAACTCGAATCTCTTGATTGTGACATCAAAGATGCTTGGTGGCCTGGCAGCTACCTGACTTTTGTCTTAGTCTTCACTGTCTCTGTCCTCACACTTTTCTCTCTCATAATATGCTGTCATGCTACTTCTGGTCTACATGGTTCCATTCACACTATTCCTCCTTTGTGGAAAGTCTTCTTACATCCCTTAATTAATGCCTAATGGGGTAGCTCAACCACCATCTCACATAGCTAACTCATGTGGAACACTCTGGCTGGGCTAGCTGCTTTCTCCCCTCCCAGACCGTGCCACAGTGTGTAGTTTTACAACACCGAACTTACCAGTGCCCATCTCAAAGTGAAAACTGAAGAGGCTATCCTTTTTTTTCTGATTAATTTTTAAAATTATACTTTTTTAAAAAATTGAGATGATTGTAGATTTGTATGCATTTGTAAAAAGTACGTCAAGATTCTCTGTACTCTGCCTGATTTCCCTAATGGTAACATCTTGCAAATATATATGGTACAATATCACAACCAGGATATTAACATGTATCTTACAGGACTTATTCAAATTTTCCCAGTATTACTTGTACTGGTGTGTGTGTATTTATTTCTATGCCATTTTATCACATGTTTAGGTTTATGTGTTTACAACCACAGTCAGGGTATAGAGCAGTTGAACACTACAAGGATCTCTTGTGTTTGCCTTTTTATAATCACATCTATTCACCTCACTCGCCATTAATGTTCTACTAATGTCATTTTTCTGTTCTAGAATCCTATCTAGGAGACAACCTTACATTTAATCATCATTTCTCCTTAGTCTCCTGTTGCCTGAATATTTACTCAATATTTCCTTACATTTAAAGATCCTGAAAGTTTTGAATGATATCCCTAATTTATTTTCCTTTTTTTTTTTTCTGCTGGTGAGACTAGGGATGTGGGTTATGGGGAAGAATACAGTTTTTAAAGGGTGACTGTCTTCTTATCACATGGTATCAGGGGTACATATTATAAACATCACATTTTATTTCTGGTGATAGTAACCTTGATGTCTTGGTTAAGTTAAAGTTTGCCAAACTTCTCCACTATAAACTACTTTTTCATCCCTTTTTAAATTTTAATCTTTTAAATAAATCACCAAGAGCAGTCTATACTCAAGAAATGGGGAAAATAAACTCCCCCTCATGGGAAGTTTTTCTATAAACTATTCCAAATTCTTTTTTATAGATTTGTCTATTCATTTCAATTTATTTATTTATTCAATTATATATATAGCATGGAGTTATGGATATTTATTTTACACTTTGAGTTGTAATTCAATACTGTTATTTATTTTGTTGCTCAGTCGTTTCAGCTTTACCACTGGAAGTGCATTCAGATTGGCTCTGCTATCTCTTTGGAGTGCTCTGATTCTATTTTTAGTATTTTCTTATTGACTGTCACTACGAATTGCCCCAGACTCATTTTTTATTTTTCCTGCCCCAGCCCTAGAATCAGTTATTTCTCCAAATTGCTATTTCTCCTTTGAATTTACTTTGCAACTTTGGATAAATCAGTTAATTATGTTAGTATTTCTCAATTCTGTCCCATTGATCTGTGTTTCTATTATTTATCCATTACCACACTGTCTTGATTACTGTAACCTCCCAGTAAGTCTTGAAATAAAGTAATGTGACTCCTCCAGCTTTGTTCTTCTTTCTCAGAATTGTTTTGTCTATTCTAGTATCTTTGCCTTTCAATATAAATTTTATAATCAACTTATCATTTGTTAATATCCACATTTAGATTTTCTTTTTATTTTTCTGGTTATTTCTATTTATTGATGATTTTTTGCTTAGAAGACCCTCTAATACTTAGTGCCTTAAAACTATATTTAGCTCACAGTTCTATATTCAGCATTTGGGGTTGGGTTCAGTGGGCAATTTCGTCTCATTGACATTTGCAGTGAGCTGCAGTTCAGGGGACAGCTCTGCCCCTGATGACTGGGTAACTGGTGGCTGGAGCAACAGAGGATTGAGAGGGGGCAGACAACTTGCCTATGTTGGCTCATTATTCAGTAGATTAGTCCGGGATTAGTCACATGGCAGTAAGAAAACTTTTGTCACAGATAGGCAATGTTTCTATTGCATTTCTATTGGTTAAAGCATGACACACAGCCTGCCCAGGGTCAAGGAGTGGGCAAACAGACCATCTCAAGATGACAAAAGCTTAAAATTATTATGTGATCTAGCATAATTATTATTAACTAACATTAACAACAATGTGATTTTTGGAATCATCACGAGCACAATCACTGTGAAAATGAAGATAAACAGATCTCTAATTTTTTGGACGAGGAGCAATTGAGATTTTTAAAATAGCAGTTTTTCTTAACGGAGAATAGTGAAAATTGTGGTTGAGTCAACATTTAATAATAGTTTAACCAAAGAGTTTTTGTGTCCTTAATCTGAACTTTATATGAATATAAATGTAGATATGGATATAACTAATGACATAGAAACAATTTAAGTCTAAATCAGCCCAAGAAAAATAAGTCCATTTGGTCCAAACACCATGGGTAACTATTGGCCAAAGTAGGATTTGGAATTATATACCTTATTTATTTATTTTGAATTGCAGAAATTAATTAGAATTGAATGACATTGTTTAATTAATCTTCTGTGCCATGAGACTCCATCAGGCTGTCTACAAAGACCACTGGGAGACTGAGGATCATCTGAGCCCAAGAGTTTGAGGTTGTAGTGAGCCTCAAAAAGCCACTGCATTGCAGCCTGGGTGACAGAGCAAGACCCTGACTCTAAAAATAAAAAAAGACCTTTACCCACATTTCCAGATTTCAATTTCAATGGTACTTGGAGAATGCAGAATATCAGATCTTTGATTGTCATCAGTAATTAGTGGAATTCTGTACTTTAATTCCCAGTTCAGTGCACTTCTCACAAAACTATGTTCTCTTTATATGGTGGAAAGCTTTTTAGGAAGATTTTGTTTAGAAAGCAACCATACCTCACCTTGATAAATATATTTTTCTGGCTCTTTGAACCAGCAGGCAGAATATAAATTTACAATTTTTATTTACTAGTGATAAGGAAGGGAATTGTCAAAATATATTAATAAGGCTATTTAAAAGCTAGTAATGTTGTCTACTGCTTTACAGTTAAAAATATTCATGTTTTAGTTCACTTCACTTGCTGGGGCTTATAAGGAAGAGAAGGAATTTTATTATTCTCATTTTTCAGATAAGAAAAATGAGGCTCAGAAAAACTGAAATTTAAGCAGAGTTCCATTGCTAGTAATAAAGAGGGTCTGGACTAGAGTTTATTAAGTAGGGTCTCTTATTTGTTTCTTCATTTAAAATGTGTAAATCTTAGGAGAACAGTTGGCTAAAATTTTGCTAAATAGTAGAACAAGATAAAATAAATTATATTTTAGATGTCATTCTTATTATTATGTCAAGGTTTGTTATGCTTATGAGAAAGTATAATGGTTCAGGAACTCCTTGCATGATACTGCCTGGGGGTGGCGGTGGGGAGGATAGTGTATAGACAAATTCTCAGTCCCTATTTCCAAGACCTTTGCTTTCATAAGTCTCTGGTGGCCTAGAGTTTTTTGGAAAAAATTCTTCTTATGCATAATTTCAGTTTGAAAAGAACTGGCAACAGGGTTCCCAAAGTTAGAGATATTCAAGGTTATGTATGCGTGTGTATATCTATGTGAGTGTGTGTGTAGGCACAGTTAAGTGCGTGCAAGCGCACATATGTGTTCCTTCAAGTTTATGTGGGTTTGCACGTGTGTGTGTGTCTTTGTGTTCGTGATTAATACTGGAAAGAATTGCTGCTTGGTAACCATTCCTTATTGGTGTGAATGAAATTACATGAAAAAGTATCCCAGATATAAACCATTATTCTTGAATTTTCACTAGGTAATTTTTAGAAATTATATCCACTCAGTAATACACTTTTTACCCCTTACATTTTGCAAGATCAATACTTTTACATCAACTATATCTTTTATGGATGTAGTACATTTCTCCAAGCATCTTAAACATGGGCACATATGTTATGTGCAGACAGACGTTTTACTATAATGGTGCTTAAAATGGATCGCGAGTTCAGATTGATTTTTCTCACATTAGTTGTTTAAAATGGCTTTTCTAAAGCAGACATATAATGGCATGATTGTCCCTTCCAAAATATCAAAGAGAAAAGTATTTAAAAAGCAATGATGTGAGACATGTGGAAAGAAAGCTCATATTTATCCTCCTTTAAGTGGCCTTTGGGAGAATTTTGCTTAAAAATGTTAATGTGTTTTATGAGTTTTGATTTATAGGTATTTTTAACAGTAAGCCTTTAAGATGTCAGCTCAACTAATTGTGCTTCCTTGCTCTTTCTAAAAGCATGAAGGCTGCTGGTTGTACCTTAAGGGGACTGACACTAAAATGAGTAGGAATCAGGTTTGTCATAAGATTTGATCTGAAATAGAAAACAGAGAAGTATAATAATGTTTTGAATTTGAATAACATGTTAGCTAAGAGCAACAAAGAAACATTAATTCAAACAGAAGGGAAAGTAGCTAAAATCACATTATACAGTAGCAATCACAGAATCGCTGAGGGACCACAATGGGCAACAACAGCATGTCACTTTCTGAAGCAACTGATGTAGACTGTATTGTCTCTCACCCACATAATTGCTTCCATCCTTACAATCACTGTCACTTCAAGAGTAGGGAAAAAGTAATTTGGAAACTGGACTATAAACCAAAGGTAAGAGAATGTCCGAATCAACAGAGAAAAAACACATTCTTCTCTTTTGTCTGTGAAACCGTTACAAAAATAAATCTCATACTTGGCGGCAAACACAGTCTCAGTAAATGCTAACAGCAAGGATTTTAGAGGCCATGTTCTCAGACCTTCATGTAATAAATCTGGAAAGCCAACAACAAAAATAAGCCGAATATTAAATAAACAGAAATTTAAAATGTAAACCTATCTAAATTAAAAAGACATTTTTAAAACAACATATCAAAGCTCCTGATAAAAATAAATCATATTTGTTTAAATACTTTTTTCAGAAATAATAGAAAATGTATGTTATTATTTAGTTATGAAAATAGAAAAAGAACAACAAAATAAACCAAAAATATTGAGTTGAATGAGTATGATAAAAGCTTAGATTAGCTTCAAAGTAGAAACTAAACTAATATAAAATTCTGATATAATCCACTTCTCTTTCCTTATAAAGTGTTATTATGAAAGAGAGAAAATTGAGAGGCCAAGGTGGGTGGATCACGAGGTCAGGAGATCGAGACCATCCTGGCTAACACGGTGAAACCTCGTCTCTAGTGAAAAATACAATAAATTAGCTGGGCGTGGTGGCACATGCCTGTAGTCCCAGCTACTCAGAAGGCTGAAGCAGGAGAACCGCTTGAACCCGGGAGGCGGAGGTTGCAGTGAGCAGAGATCGCGCCACTGCACTCCAGCCTGGGCGACAGAGCCAGAGCGAGACTCCGTCTCACAAAACAAACAGACAAAAAAAACAAAAAACAAAACAAAACAAAAAAAGAGAGAGAGAAAAAGAATGCATACAAACCTAAGGATTGAGGAACTGGATAGAACTACAAACATGAAAGTGATTTAAATTACTATAAGTGACAGTCTGTGCACATGTATGACATCTTTGATGATTTCCCAGCAAAATATATATGATAATAACTGGTTTAAAAAGCGATAAAAGATTGAACGTTTCAAAACTTAAAACGATTTTCAAAGCCAAGGTGGTATTACTGGCGAATTTTAACACACTTAAGAGACAAACCGCTGGCCTAATCGTATTACCAAAAGCTTAATTTAAATATTGCGCACGCACGCGCGCGTGCACACACACACACACACAAATAAGTGAAATGCACTTTTGGGAAAATAGATGCCTGAATAAATGAATACATAAAATGAAGGAAAGCCATCATATTTTAAAAATAGTCATCTGGTTATATAAATATATACATTTAATTTGATATCAACCAGAATTACAATGGACATTTTTAAAATAGAAAATTATTTTAAAGTTCATATGGAAAAATAGTATGAAGTTCCTAAACAAATAATAAAAAAAAATAGTGAAGAGTTACCTGACCATTGGCTGCCAAGCTGCTTTAATCAGAATAGTGTGATATTTGTGTAGTAAATGTCTAAGATGTCAGTGGAAAAAATAGAAAGTAAAGAAATTGATCAAAGTATTTATGTGGAAATAATAATATAATAATATGACCAAACAAGTAGGAGACAAATGTGTTTCAAAAAATGACTCTAGGGTGCCCAATAGTCTATTAAGAAAAAATATATAAACTTTTACCTTATAATATACAATAATAAATTTTGGATGTATTAAAGTTCTAAATGTAAAGTTAAAATAAGTATTAACATATTGGAAAAATGTATAAGATATTTGTATTATCTGGAGGTGGCAAAAATCTACTTAAGAAATTTAGGTAAGCTCGAATCATAAATCAAAATTCTCACAATAAATTACATAATATGAAAAATATTATTTTGTAAATGATAGAATAAACAAAGATTATAGGCTAATTCTAATGCAAACTTTACTCTTAATGTTAACCTGACTCACAAATTATAATAAAATTCTAAATCTATATCAAGTTCTATAAGGCCCTACATAGACTGGCCATGGCTACTCATTGATATCCCTAATATATAAAATATTGCTACTAGTTGCTTAATAATTAAAAGATAAAAATAGCCACTTATTTATTTCCTGAAAGTACCTTTACCAAATAATCTGTAAAGGTAATGAGAGGCAGATTCTAGGTAAAAAAAAAATAGAAAACTCTTATGGAGTTTTGAAAATAGTGTCAATACTATGGTTTAGAGTTTAAAGATATGATGAAAAGTTATTATTTGGGGTCTTATATTTTTACCCTGAGTAGTAATACTTTCAAAGTAAAATCATGTTTTTCTTCTTCTAAAATAGATTTTTACAATTAAGCTTTAATTTTGAGATAATTTTAGACCTACCTGCTGTTATAAGAAAGAGATTCCATGCACTGCTTACCCAGTTCCTATGGTGGTTATTCATATTTTTTCCATTTGAAAATTTAAACTTGTTTCTTATATGTTCTGTTGTTTCCTTAATGAGACTTTCCATATTTTCTCTTTTTAAATCGGCTATTAATTAATTAATTAATTAATTATTTTTTTTTCAGACAGAGTCTCACTCTGCTGCCCAGGCTGGAATGCAGTGGTGCGATCTTGGCTCATTGCAACCTTGGCCTACTGGGTTCAATCAATTCTCATGCCTCAGCTTCCCGATGTAGCTGGAAATACAGGTGTGCACCATCACACCCGGCTAATGTTTGTAATTTTAGTAGAGATGGGTTTTTGCCATGTTGGCCAGACTGTTCTCAAACTCCTGGCCTCAAGCAATCTGCCCACCTCGGCCTCCCAAAGTGCTGGGATTAAAGGCGTGGGTCACCATACCTGGCCTTTCAATATTTTCATTTGTTCTCTTCTCAGTCTTTGTTGATGTTGGTTAGGGTGAGGCAGGGCATGTATCTAGCAGAGATCTAGCAGGAAATATATATTGCATACTTAAAAATGGTCATTGAAAAGAGTTTAATAAAGGACATTTTACAATTGTATAGACACACTTATGGGAGATCAAGAAGGAAGGTGAAGTATCAGATGGATTGGCAACAGCTGGCGACCTCTGCCTCTCCTAGGATTGAACATGGCAGGACTTGCATCTATAGAAGGGTGCCCAACTGCAGCTGTGGCTCGCAGTAAAGGAAACAGCCACTGATAATCACAAGTTAATAGAGATATTTAAATGCAATGGCAGTTCTCTGTGCACAGCCACCCATCTCTCATTGGAGTTTTCCACTGAGAAAAATTAAATGTAAGTCTTGAAAAGAAGTCTAGCGCTGCAGAACAGAAAAGTCAATTACTGGTACACAGAGTAAGAAAAACGATGGAGAGTAAATCTCAAGGGCCAAGTGCAAAATGTTAAGCCAAGAGGGGATTCCATACAGTGAAGAGGAGAACAAATTAAGCACATTTTAGTGAGAAGTTTAGCCTATCTAGAGAAGAATTCAAGTGAGACAGAAATTGTATATAATTGGAATTGTTTTATCCAATTTCCATGCAGTGATCATGGAGCACTGCAAAGGCAGGATCAGCAGTCTCTGCTGAGGCATATGATGGAATGTAAGCAATTCACAGGTTATGAAATGGCTAATAAGCACATATAGGTAGTAAAAGAGATGACATAGCAAAGCTTTAAATATTCAGTTCTCTATTTGTAATGAAGAAAATGTTTTTCGCAGTAAGGCAAAAGAATAAAAAGTAAGTGCAATTAACATAGCAAAATATAGTAATTTACGTTAAAAGGTGTTTAATTACAACAGAAAGTGGAAGGGTTGGAAAGATTGGACATTTTGTAGAGATGAATCCATTTTGAGGAAGATAAAATCCAGATTGATATGCTGAGTATGTGTTATTTTATTTGGAGGATTTGTGTGAGTGTGGCATTTTTTTCTCATTTACATGAACAAGCTGTAGTGAAAATAAAAAGTCTCAACTAGAAATCTGCCTTCCAATGAGAGACTATAACCATCTAATCACGACCCTTTTTCTTTCCAATACAATTAGGGTCATCAGAACTACATCTTCCTAAGAGGGAAAGAAACACCCAATAACATCTTGGCAGGTGCTGCATAATCATGCCTCAAATGACTTTCTGAAGATAAAAAGAAAGTGGTACTTGCTTGCATAACTGAACATATCTGCCTGAGTTGTTTTCCTACAGATGTTATCCTGGGAATAGAAACAAAATTGTTCATTCCCTAGCAGCCTTCAAGAAGCACTGTGATCTAGGGCAGCACAGAGCCAGCAATGAGAGACAGAATGACATTCACAATTCTAGAAGAAAACACTGGAGTGGAATATACACAGAATGGCTGTTTGGTCTCAAGACTGCATGAATTATTATCCGGCTATGCTGGATGTTCTAATTCCTTTCTCTCAGAGGACTGTAGGTAGATACATATGCTGACTACATATGTGGATAACACTGTCGAATGCCAGTTTTCACTAATAGTGTTTGTGTTAAGCTCTCTAAACTTTTTAGGCTGGCACTATTTGTGGCCAAAAGCATATTCTAAAGTATAAATCCTTGAGAGCAGTGACTGTCTCTTATTCAACTTTGTATTTGCAGCTTGATCCTAGTGCATATGCAGTATCATAAATGCTTTTGACATTAAAGATCTTTTATATTCAAGCTATAGTTACAACTCAAGGGAGCTTAAGAGTAGGGATTATAAAATACCAGTGCCTAATATTTTATATATTTGGATTTTTTATTCAATTTCTAAAATAAATTGAATGAAAGAAATGAATTTTTTTTAATTTTTTTGAGAAGGAGTCTCACTCTGTCCCCCAGGCTGGAGTGCAGTGGCGCGATCTCGGCTCACTGCAAGCTCTGCCTCCGGGGTCCACTCCATTCTCCTGCCTCAGCCTTCTGAGTAGCTGGGACTACAGGCGCCCGCCAGTACGCCTGGCTAATTTTTTGTATTTTTAGTGGAGACGGGGTTTCACCATGTTAGCCAGGATGGTCTCGATTTCCTGACCTCATGATCCGCCCGCCTCAGCCTCCCAAAGTGCTGGGATTACAGGTGTAAGCCACTGCGCCTGGCTGAATTTTTTGTTTTATATGAGTATGTATTTCTTGAACTCAACTTTGTTTTACCCCAAATACTAAAGAGAACTCATATCATTTCAGGGAAGTGTAGGAATAGGACTACACTACACACATACTACCACTTTACCCCAAATTCTTGGCAGGTATTAAAACTTCAACTTGGAGCTTTTCTATTGAGTCCAAACTCAAGGTTATACTATTTTTCAATGTAATACTCTAAGCCAAATGTCCCCAGCCTCCGGGCCATGGACCCTTACTAGTCAGTAGCCTGTTGGGAACCCCAGGCTGCACAGCAGGAGGTCAGTGGTAGACGATGAAGCATGACCAACTGAGCTCTGCCTCCAGTTGAGAGGTTAAGCCAGCTGGACTTCCTGGGTGGAATGGGGACTTGGAGAACTTTTCTATCTAGCTAGAGGATTGTAAATGCACCAATCAGCCCTCTGTGTCTAGCTAAAGGATTGTAAATGCACCAATCAGCTCTCTGTAACAAAGCACCAATTAGCACTTTGTGTCTAGCTAAAGGATTGTAAGTGCACCAATCGGCCCTCTGTAAAAAGGCACCAATCAGCACTCTGTGTCTGGCTAAAGGATTGTAAATGCACCAGTCAGTACTCTGTAAAATGGACCAATCAGCACTCTGTAAAATGGACCAATCAGCAGGATGTGGGCGGGGTCAAATAAGGGAATAAAAGCTGGCCACCCCAGCCAGCGGCAGCAACCTGCTTGGGTCCCCTTCCATGCTGTGGAAGGTTTGTTCTTTTGCTCTTCACAATAAATCTTGCTGCTGCTCACTCTTTGGGCCCGCACTATCTTTATGAATTGTAACACCCACTGCGAGGGTCTGCAGCTTCACTCCTGAAGTCAGCAAGACCACGAACCCACCGGGAGAAACAAACAGCTCCAGACGCGCCACCTTTAAGAGCTGTAACACTCACTGCGAAGGTCCGCGGCTTCACTCCTGAAGTCAGCGAGACCACGAATCCATGGGAAGGAAGAAATTCTGGACCCATCTGAACATCTGAATTAACACAGACACATCATCCCTAGGAGCTGTAACACTCACCGTGAGGGTCCGTGGCTTCATTCTTGAAGTCAGGGAGACCAAGAACCCAGTGGAAGAAAGCAATTCCGGACACACTGTCAGATCAGTGGCAGCATTAGATTCTCATAGGACTGTGAACCCTGTTGTGAACTGCACATGCGAGGGATCTAGGTCATGTGCTCCTTATGAGAATCTAACCAATGCCTGATGATATGAGATGGAACAGTTTCATCCTGAAACCATTTCCCCCCTCCATCCACAGGAAAATTGTCTTCCATTAAACCGGCGCTTTTTGCCAGAAAGACTGGGGACCACTGCTCTAGATAGGCACTCCCAATAAATCAGTGTTGGTAAACAATATGGAACCTGTTTGTTGTCCTGGGTTCAAAGATATGCAGACATGCATTGTGTAATGAAAACACACACACACACACACACCCCCATCTATATACTCTTATTCTTACCAACTACAACTAAACTCTACTATACTTGAACCAAACTATATGCTATAACTAACTAAACTATACTCCAGTTAAATTATTCAAGGACTGTATTCAAACTAACTAAACTACTTAAATCAGGCAAAATAAATCTACATATATTTCATTATCATCATACTGTGCTTTTGAAACTAATATTGTATTTTAGATTTTTATTAAGATGAAGCTATTTATTTATTATATGAGCCTGTCCTGCCTTATTTATGTATTTTATTTCTGTTTGCTAATAACTTCTAGCAGAGAGAAACACACTTATCCTTGCAACAATTATTTATAGAGTGCCTATTATGTATTAGGCCTTATGCTAGAAAAGGAAGTTTTCCAAAGGACAAGTTAGCTCTGAAGAAACAAAATTTAGATTCCAGATTGTAGTTAGCCAGTTTGGTTTTTGTTACTATCCTATTCATGTATTTATCCATGCTTTACATTTTATAAATATTAAGAAATGATAACTCAATTTATTATATTTCTATGTATTACTATTTTATACTAATTTGCAGGCAAATTTGTTCAATGAAAGGAGAAAATTAAAAGAGTGTTCCATTAGTGAACATGCTGAGTTTCAAGAAGTTATGTTCAATATTTTAACTGATCTATCATTGCCTTACTTTCCTGAAATTTAAATGGTATTTAAATGGGTGTGATGGCTTAGAATCCACACTAGTATTGATTTCAATGGACTCCAGTTGAAGCAGGGGCTCAAGATGTGACAAGATTAAGTCAGGCATCTGGTACTCATTGACTTATTCTGCTTGGAGATACCTCCTTGCCAACAGGTCAAAAGGAGCATGGAAAAGATTTTGGGCTTAGAAAGAGAAGACTACGCATAGCTTTTAACAGTGACAGGGCTCCAGCAAAGTAGCCTGAGGTTGAAATTTGGGCCCTGGAATCAATGAGTAATGAGTCAACTGATGAAGAACTGAAGGAAGTCATACCTCTATAGTAGAGATACAAAACTGATTTTCTGTGTCCAAAGTGTCCAGCCAAGTCCTATGGCAGATAAAAAGCAACAGGATAATTTCCAGCCCCCACTCATTTGTGGAGTTTCCTCTCCCAATGCTCCTCCTGCCGTAGTTGATTGGCTTCTGTCCTAGGTGATTGTGCTAGCGTGTCCAGGAGAAATAAACTGTGAACTCCAATTTAGGAGATGGGGAATAATAAGGCTTTTTAGAAGAGAGAAATACAAATTGAGATACTTTATATTTTAAATGCATTTGCTGCTTTTTTCTGTCCTTTAGCACTCTTTGTTGGTTCTCAATTGCCTTCCAGAACAGTAATAAAATGGTATTCCCTCTTACATTTTGCATATTTAAACATATATTTTGTTTTGCTTTGTGATTACATTTCAATACATTGTTCAATTTGTGTCTAGTCTGTTTTCCTTCAAGTTGTTTTCATTTCTCAGCGTGGCCAAGAATAACTGACAATATACTCAAGAAAATATTCCATTTCCCTAATTCAATACTCTTCAAAATATGCATTTATTTACCCTTATTTTATCATTTTAGACTCCACTAAGATATAAAAATAATTAATTTAATATTCATGTATATTCATACTTTTCCTGTAGGCTGTGAGATCTGCTGAATTCATTGCATGAACTTTGAAAGAATGTGGAATCAGTGTTCATCACAATCTATGTTCTGTTTGGTTTACTCTTTGTTCTTCACTGATCTTTATGCGTATTATGAGAATTACAGTCGTTAGCAGTGTGCCTATTTTATAATTTATTAAACATAATTTCTCTCAGAAATAGATATTCTAGTAAGGAAGATAAAGTTAATATGCAAATAAATATGACAGAACATGAAACAAGTGCCTCATAAGGTGCATAAAGAGCATGTGATAGAATTTCAGAAAAGAAAGAGATCTGATTGAGCAGGAAGACATTTATTTAATAGGTTACATTTTATTTGGCTCTCACAATATGGGAAAATTTTTAAAAATGCATATGTTTGGAAACATCCTCATTCTTATGTTTTAAGAGACAACATTGTCATATTTTGGGCCATTATTAAGAGTTCATTAATATATTTAAAAACAAAATATTACACAACCAAAGAGAGAAAAACAAATGCCTGAAAACAACCTCTCATAGAGAACAAATAAAAATTTTTCTTAAAAGTTACAATATGCCAAAACACCTAAAGTTTCTTAAACATAGTACTCTCTGACCTGTGTGGAGCTTAAGCTACAATTTCATGGGCTCTAGGCTACCCAGAAACATCACGATGTCCTGTTAACACAAGTCACAATACTCTTAAAAGTTTTGCTTCACTCTTACAGAAAAGCACTGAGAGCATTTGCCTTCAACTCACATAATGAAATTTCAGTAGCAATAGTCAATCTCATGATACATTTTATTTCAGGTAAAATAAAAGGTTTATCATGATCTGGAATGCAAATCTAGTACTAAATTCCAGAATGTAAAATCACTATAAATGTATACTTTGGGTTCAGTTCTGTTTAAATCATTTATCAGATCGGGTGTGTGGTGGCTCACATGTGTAATCCTAGCACTTTGGGAGGCCGAGGTGGACAGATTGCCTGAGCTGAGGAATTTGAGACCAGCCTGGGCAACATGGTGAAACCCCATCTCTACCAAAAATAGGAACATTAGCTGGGCGTGTTGGCACATGTCTGAGGTCCCAGCTACTTGGGAGGCTGAGGTGGGAGAATCACTGGATCCTGGGAGGCAGAGGTGGCAGTGAGCCCAGATCGAGCCACTGCACTCCAGCCTGGGCGACAGAGTGAGACTCTGTCTCAATCAATCCATCAATCATTTATCAAAGTCCCTCCTACACAGTAACTTAGTAGTTGCTCCCATGCATTTTTAGGTAGATTTTTCTAATATTTCTTTCACACAAGCACACCCTGCCCCACAGATATTATGACATTTTCTCTCCCTCTTCCTGGCACTTCTGGCTTTCTTTCCTCCAAGAACCCACAGAGTTTTTAGTTTTTCTTCTTCCTCCTCATCCTATTCCTGTTCTTGTGTTTTTCACTTCTGCAAACTAATCCTTTTCTCTTGTCTTCTCCTCATTGAGTGGTTGCCTTTACAATTGACAGTTTATATGGTTGCTGATCCTGTCTGCCTGAAGGGTAGCCGGTAGAGGTAAATTTAGCTACAACCATCAACAGTTTTCCTTTAATCCCAGATTATTTTTCCACATAGGTTGCACATGTTATTCACAGGAAATGCTCTTTTTTTTTTTTTTTTTTTTCCTGAGACAGAGTCTTGTTCTGTCACCCAGGCTGGAATGCAATGGTGCAATATTGGCTCACCACAACCTCCACCTCCCATGTTCAAGTGATTCTCCTGCCTCAGCCTCCCGAGTAGCTAGAATTACAGGTGCACGCCACTGTGGCCGGCTAATTTTTGTATTTTTTGAGTAGAGATGGAGTTTCGCTATATTGGCCAGGCTGGTCTTGAACTCCTGACCTCACGTGATCCACCCCCTCAGCCTCCCAAAGTGCTGAGCCACCATGCCTGGCCTCTTACTTTTTAAATACCCTCTGCTTTGTGAATTAGCTGCGTAAGTGGCCAGACTCTGACTCTCCCCCCTCCTTTGGAGATGACCCTTTTCAACTTCTACCATTCTCACAAATGCACATAGAATCAGATAAAATGTCATATAGTCTTTATAGTTAGCCTGGTACATGAGATATAACTGATTTCCAACTTACAAAGAGTGAATTGAGGCCCAGAGCGGTTGGAACATCCTAAGTTGTCTCACAAGCAAGGAGCAGAGCTAACACTACAAAGCAGGCCCAGCACTCTCTCGGCTGTCAAACACTGTCTTACCTCGGACTCACACAAATCAAAAATGTAACTTTTACATCTTCTCTATTCTTAGAGTTTCACTGAGGCAAACATAATTTCTTAGGAAAAGAATAAAACCAAACATTTCTTTTCATAATGGCAGTGATAACTAGTAGAAGAAAAAGAAGAAGAAAGGAAATATAGATGAAGATCCCCCTTAGAAAGTTCCACGAACACTTTAGATTCCGTATCTGGTAGCGAATTTGATGTACAAAGAAAGTTTTGTCTTGTTCCGTGGCCTTTCTTCAAATGGTAACATATCTCTTTAATTCGTTTAATTAAGTCAATACTCCACACCGCTTGATGTTTAATGCAAACTGACATGCTATTTTAACCACAGTGCCAAACTCACTGTGTAAGAATCACCTAGGGAATTTCTTAATTATAAAGATTCCTGAACATACCTCTAGAAGTTTTACTTTAATAGGTTAAGGGGAGGGTCTAGGAATCTGTATTTTTAAATGCTTTCCCTGTGATTCTGATGTACAACCCATGAGAGAAGTATTAATTCCCACTATGTATAATCAACAATTCAATAAAAACTTAGCTTTCATAAGAAGATAATTTATTAAATTTCTAGACAATCATCATTTCTTGGTTTCCCATAGGCTATTTCTATCACTTTTCTAAACTGTACTTTTTCTTATTATTTATCAGAGAGTTACTTTAGAAGGAGAGGACAGGATTGGAAATGTGTATTAGTGTCATCTATTCACTTACCCAATCCATAGTAAATATTCATGTAGAGTCAACTGCAGGAGTGGGGAGGGGGAAAGAATTGAAATCTAATGAAAGTTAATCAAAGAGAAGAACTTCCTTCAGGCTGGCCATGCATGTCTGTGGTTTGTCTGTCATTTATAATGCTGCAGCCTCTGGTTCATAGTCAAGCTGTAATTCTGCCAGTTAATGTATCCAATTAACCCCACTAATGAGCTAATCAACAGTGTAAAATCTGTGTAAAATCACTGAGGGTGTATGATGAATGGGAAATGCACTGAACTCTCCTAATATAAAAAGTGCTTTACTGCACTTGTTAAAGTGGCACTGTCTTATCCCTCTCTAAAGGGTAATTTATCACCAGGGTCCGTAAAAGTGCCATGCCCTGATAAGGCAGAGGTGGCAATAAACCCATCAGAAAATGATTACTCAGGAATGTGGAGCAATTACAATGTCTCCCTGTATCAGAGTCATAGCCTGGAGAGCAAATGTGCTTTTCTGTTGATTCAGGGTTCAAACAAAGAACCAGCAGTAAACTTGAAGGTGATCCATAACTTGTAAACGGATGATATTTTATATGCATGTATATTCATTTGAAATCTTCTGAAGCAAGTGTTTCTAGTATACCAAGCTCCATAATACTGTTGTATTGTAAATGAAGACAGTGATTCATTCCAGAAACTCCTTATTGTAAAGATAGGGCAATACAAAGTTGGTAGCCTTGTAGGAGCTATCAATTTTCTCTAAACATCAATCTTCTCTTATGGAAAGACTTTCATCAGCAAATTCATAGTCCTTTTCTCTTGTTCATATAAGAAGGTAACATTCTAGAAAGGCTCACTCACATCTGAGAAATTCAGGCTTTCCTTGTGGCATAGGATTCAGAGACACCCTCTTCAGGATAGATCACAAAACAAATCCCAGCATATGTTCTCTCTCTTAGTATCCTTTTATGGCACAGTCCTTGGATATTCTATCTTCTGAATCAGTTGGAAATCAAGGGTCAGCTTCCACAAAAAAAAAAATGTGGCATACCATGTTCATTTCTGGATAATTCTCTACTCTGTTTGCTACTGTAGATGACGTAAATCCTTGTCAATATTTTCATGTTTCTATATCTGGTCACTTTTCTCAAAATTGTGGTCCTCAAAACAGGCATTCCCCCACTCCACTTTTTTACCTTAAAATATCTCTCTACCTTTCTTTTAACTATAGTTGGTCATCTTGCCTCTAACAGAAGACATGGCCCACCTTCTTTCTAAGGCTAATTCTCCATCTCATATTGGTAATCTTATCCATGCTCTATTGGTTATACTTTTACATGTTCAATCTCTCCTTTTATCCCGTTTTCCTTACTTTCATCTAAAAAATATGCTCAAGCATCACTCTTATTCAGGGTGGAAAGATATTTCAGGGTGGAAAATATTTTTCTTCCACTCTGAATTTCCCTTTAGTTACTATACTTGTTCTTAATATTACTTAAAAGTGTACTTTTTGCTTACTGTCTCCTCTTTGCCAATGCATATACTAACTTAACCTAATAATCTTGTCTCTCCAAACCTGCTTTCTCAAAGGTCATTAACCTCTCAAATATCAAACCCTGTGGTTTTGTGATAGTGATCATCACAGTTAACCTCTTTGAAAAAAATCTCACACACTTAAGTACCTTTGCTTCCCCCAAATTATCATGCCCTCACTTTCTATGACAACTGCATTTTTGGTCTCCTTACATCTCTGATTACTTTTCTTAAAATTATCTTCCGTAGGCTTTAGTCCACTATTCTTTTTATGTATATGTTTTACAATAGGATTCAATGTACACATTTAAAAATATTCCTACCATGCCTATATACACAACTAGAGTATAGTTCTTGCCCAATAGTTTGATTATATCCTCGATAGTCCAAAGTATGACACTGCAGTTCTGAACTCATATGTGAATTCCAGGTCTGAATTTCTAAAATCCACTAGCTATTGTTGATACCTCAAACATAATATTTGAAAAATTTAGCTTGTTAAATCATACTACTCAATCAGTATGTCCTTTTTGGGTTACAAACAATTTCCACTAAAATTAACTTGATTAAAGAGGAATTTATTGGACATATACTTGGGTGTGACTAGACTAACAATAGTTAAGTGTCTGTATCCTTGTTCTCCCACCTTCTTTATAAGTGTCAGTTTTATGAAGTCCAATAAAACCCATTCACTTCATAGGGTAAGGAAGGTGATTGCCAGTAACTCCTGATTTTCATTGTCTTAGTCTGCTCAGGCTGTTGTAACAAAATATTATAGATTGGGTGACTTAAACAGCAGAAATTTGTTCCTCACAGTTCTGGAGGCTGGGAATTTCAAGACTAGGGTGCCAACTGATTTGGTTCCCAGTGAGGGTTTCCTACCTGGTTTGCAGACAGCCTGCATCTTGCTGTTATTCTCACATGATGGAGAGAGAAAAAGATCATCTCTTTTGTGTCTCTTCTTATCCAGGCGCTAATCCTATTCATGAAGTCTCTACCCTCATAACCTAGTAACCTATCAGAGGCCCCAGCTTCAAATAATATTACATAGGGGATTAGGGCTTCCACATATAAATTTGCAGGGCGGGGAGGAGGACAAATATTTAGTCCAAAGGATTCATATTTGAGCTTCAAATTTTGAAGTTTTGACTGATCTTTTTTCCTAGTTCCAGTTTGCAAAATCAGAGAGAATTCCTCTAATTAGCTAATTTTAGGCCATTTGAGAGACACCTGACCATTGTAAGCTCATCTAAGTGAAGTGAGGCTGATCTCAGAGGTTATGGCATTGTAATAATCCAGGCATGCACTTCAACTGACACCCATTACTACCTACCTTTTGTTTCTGAACTATGGCATCAACCAAATCACAAAAGCTAAATATTGTAGCATTATTTTTACCACTTTTCTTTTCCTCTAAAGCCAATCACCAAACTTTAGTCATTCTATTTCTACATTGTCTTACTTGTATTTCCATTTTCCTCTTTTTCCGATGCCGATGCCGTAGTTCAAACCGGACATCATATCTCTCCTAGACTATTGCTACATTGATTTCCAACTTGAATCTCAAATATTTTTAGAGCATTCTTTCTAGCCAAGTCAAAGATGATGATTACTCTCAGCATACATGCAGACTATAATTTCTCTTTTCCCTCCATTTACAGCCATTTTTTAACTTTTTCTTTTAGTATAGAAGGTTATAACACAACGTTATAATCAAATCTTATGGGAAAGTTGCCAGTTAATACTTTCTGTCTTGAATTTCTCCACTTTCTTCTCTCTAGAAACTGGCAGAGGTTTTCACCTACACCAACAAATTAAACCAACCCTTTTAAAACACTAAAGACATCCATCTTGCTAAATTGGCTATCAGTTATCTGTTTCCTTTTTACTCAAACCTTAGCAGCATTTGATACAGATACTCACTTTTCATTCTTTACTTTCTTCTTGTTTTTTTACTTTCTACTCCCTTCCAATTTATTTCTTATTTTATAGATGTTTTATTTTCATTGTTCATTGCCAGATCTATATCTTTTGTCAAACTCCAAATGTTGATATTCCCCAGGGTTCAGTCCTTAGGCTTCATTTTTTTTCCTTATATTGGTTTTCTCCGTAGGTTACCTGTGCAACATTCTCTGCCCTCTGTACATATAGACTTATTCTTGATCACATTAACATACTGTGACCCTCTGGCATATCTATCATTTCTTTAATACTTCCATATTTCTTCAATACATCCTGTGCCCACAGAATTGACATTGATCAAGTCCTTACCCCTTCTCTGCCTCAGATATCAACACTGTCATCTCTAAGACTCAACTCAATGCTACCTATCCCATAAAACCTTTCCTGATAATCCCTCCCATATCAACTGGAATAAATTATTCTGGGTTTTTCCTCTGTGTGTAATTTGTGCTTCTTTTAGCCACTTATTTCTTATTCTCTTATATTTTGCTATCGAATATTTGACAGCCCCCCCCAGTCTATGATCAGTCTTTGGCACACAATTCAGGCACTCTTATAGCTAACCTGTCTATAAATGTATAAATTCAATTTCACCAGAAAGCCTAGAATTTTGATCCCTATCTAGTTCAGTCTATATGACTTGTCTCCTCTCAGGAAATTTTATCCATCTTTCCAAAGTCTGATTTGCTTCCCAGAACTAGTTCAATTAAATTCTTATTCTCAGTCACAAGTTAGTAGGCAATAAATTTGTAATATTTAAATATTACACTTATTAATTCTATTAAATTTATTTAACTTGAATTGTTGTTATTGATTTATTTGAAACTAAAAAGGTATTCATTTGATTTTACATAAATCCCTCTAGTCTTATTCAAATGAGAAAAAATAATTACAGGTGTTATCTTACTGAAGTTCACAGATCAATATAGGAAAGAGTTAAAAGTCTTTAACCCATTTTATTTAACTCCCAAACTCAGACTTTTAGACTCTTTCCCCTCTCTTAATCAATTTCCTCCTCCCCTTTACTCCTCCCTTTCTGGCCCTGGCAGAATATCTCCCACCCCACTAGGAGTCCTGTAAATATTTGTTGAATTGCTTATAACTTTTGTGGAAGTTGGTAGTTTTGCCGTGGAAATGCTGGGAGGCAGGGAAGGTTAATTGAACATAAGTCTCAAGGTGTCTGTGTTATTTCTCTCTTCAGTACTAGCTGGCAAAAGGCATTTTTCTTTTTTTCCCAATGCCTCTTACAACCAGCCACAGGGGGCCTTGCAAAGCTTAGGGCAAAGTCAAATAACACAGTCAACCCATTGTAGGGAGGCTCTGCTATGTGCTTGGAAGGAGATCACAAAGTTGGAAGAAAGAAGAAAGCTCACTTCAAACAAAGCGATATAATTGTAGTACTTGATAGTAAGAACACACATCTGTTACTTTACAGGATCAGATTATTTACAGCATGTGTAAAATATATAGGTTTTCTAACAGATTTACTGAAATTTGACAATACTGAAAACAAAATAAGACAAAAACATGGTAGTGGGAAGGGGTCTTTACATTTTTCTCTGTATAGAACATTTTAAAAATATAACCAATAGCTGATATTAATGATCCAATTAAGAAAATGGTTCAGAGTAAAAAACTAGAAACTCTGCTGCCTAGCCAGATAAAATGATGTTACAAAATAGTGCCTTACCTTTCTAGTCAGACGTAATATTCATGGCTGGTGATTCTGTTATGTTAATTCAAAAATAATTTTTATATTTAAAAAGTTATGTCAGGTTTATATTTTTAAAAGATGAATAATCACTTCCATTTTACAAAAAATATTATGCTCCATAATTGTTCACATGTTCAGTTTCTCTGTGGTTACACTGACTATATGGTAGGAGCAGAGAAAAAATCGTTGAAAGACTTCTTATATCTAGATCATGAAGTGGAAGAAAGCTTCTGGTTATAGTCATATTTAGAGTTAATGCAATGCTTTAGGATTAGGTAAACTTTAAATTCTAAATGTTCACATCACTGACACTATGCCTGATCATCTCTGATTTACCCAATCCAAATTCCTAGAAAGAGTTGGGTTGTTTTTTTTTTTTCATTCTACTTACGCAGGAAAACATTAACTCACCAAAACATGTATTCTGTTCTCGCACTCAATCACAGAGATCCTGATCAAGAGATCCTTAGATTTATATAACTAAGGCCACTTAGTCTAAGAAGCCCTTTTCAAAAACTCTATGGTAAAATATTACCAATAAGTAAAAAAGTTAATACTTTAACTTGCATTCCTCCAGCTAATAAAGCTTCTACATGTTTAAGAAATTTTACAGTTATTTTTGTGAAATATCACTTTGTTGGACTTGGTCTAATACTTTCTTCATAATTAAATTCATAGTAGATATTTTTGTCAAAATCACAGCATAAATGATGTTGTATCCTTCTCTGTATAGCACATCAAATAGCATATGGCATGTAATTTTTCAATATCTGGCAATGAAAAAATTCATCACTTGCTTAAGTTGGCACGTTCTAGATTTCTCCATCAAAAAGATACCTTTACTTCTTTGTAATGAAAAACAATTAGTGGGGCAGTCCTTTGAACTACATGAACATACTTTTTCCTCCTAAAGTTTACCCCATGTTTTCTTTTCTAAAAAAAAATTGTAGAATAGTTCTATATTTACAGGAAACCTTCCAAGATAGTACAGAGTTCTTTCACTTATCACAATCAGTTTGCTTTGATATTAATATCTTGCCTTAGAAGATACATTTTTGATCATTAATAATTGACTATTGACACAAAATACAGTCCATTCATTAGCTGGTTTATTTAGTTTTTATGTAATGTTGTTTTTCTGGGTTCTTTTTTTTTTTTTTTTTTTGAGACAGAGTTCTGCTCTGTTGCCCAGCCTGGAGTGCAGTGGCATGACCCCAGCTCACCGCAATCTCCGTCTCTCAGGTTCAAGCAATTCTCTTGCCTCAGTCGCTCAAGCAGCTGGGATTACAAGCATGCACCACCACACCCGGCTAATTTTTGTATTTTTAGTAGAGATGGGGTTTCACCATGTCGGCCAGGCTGGTCTCAAACTCCTGACCTCAGGTGATCTGCCTGCCTTGGCCTCCCAAAGTGCTCGGATTACAGGCATGAGCAACCACGCCCAGCCCCTAACATTCTTTTTCCGATGCAGGATCTCATCCAGTATACCATGTTATATTTACTCATCATGTCTCCTTAGACGTCCCTATATGGTGGCAGTTTCTCAGATTGTCCTTGTGTTTAACTACCTTGATAGTTTTAAGGGGTACTAATCAGGTATTTTGTAGAATGTTCAATTTTCTTTTGGCTGATGTTTTGTCATGACTAGACCTGGTTTTAGCTTTTGGGAAAGTAGACCACACAGATAAAGTACCACTTACATTTTATTATGCCAGGAATCAATGTTATTAACATGACTTTTCACCATGGATGTTAACCTTGATCACATGGCTAGGACAGGGTTTGTCAGGTTTCTCAACTGCAAAATTACTCCTTTCCCCTCTTTCTATATGCTAGTCTTTGGAAGAAAGTCACTACACAAAACCCACTTCCTGAAGGAAGGTGTATCTATATAAATTATCTTTATTTCTTCTAGACAGAGATTTGTCTATCCTTCCCTTTACATGTATTTATTCTGTCATTTATTTATTATCAGTATGAACTCATAGATACTTATTTTTACTTTAGGTAAGAGCCCAGTTCTATGTTATTTATTTTTTCACTCAATTTGTTCCAGCTTTGTCGTTAAGAGCTATTTCAGTTGGCTCCTGTACTTCTTTGACATATTTCATTCTTTTCTATAATTTCAACTTTTATTTTAGATTCTGGGAGAACTGTGAATGTTTATTACATAGGCATATTGAATGGTGCTGAGTTTGGGTTATGATTGATCCTATCACGCAGGTAGTGAGCATAGTACCTGATAGGTAGTTTTTCAACCCTTGCCCTCCTCTCTCCCTCCCTCTTCTAGTAGTCCTTAGTGTCAATTGTTGCCATCTTTATAGACATGAGTACCCAATATTTAGATCCCACATATAAGTGAGAACATGAGGCATTTGATTTCCATTCTTGTGTTAATTTGCTTAGGACAATAGCCTCTAGCTGCATCCATGTTGCTGCAAAGGTCATGTTTTTATTCTTTTTTATGGCTGCATAGTATTCCATAATGTATATGTACCACATTTTCTTTATACAATCCAACATTGATAGGTACCTAGATTGATTCCATGTCTTTGCTATTGTGAATAGTACTGCAATGAATATACTAGGGCATGTGTCTTTTTGGTGGAGTAATTTATTTTATTTTTTATTATATACCTAGTAGTGAGATTGCTGAGTCAAATGGTAGTACTGTCTTAAGTTATCTGAGAAATTGCCAAACTGCTTTCCATAGTGGCTGAACTAATTTACATTCCCACTAACAGCATATAAGCATTCCTTTTTTTCCACAGCCTCTCCAGCATCTGTTTTTTTTTTTTTTTGACTTTTTAATAATAGCCATTCTGTCAAGGAGATGGTATCTCCTTGCTGTTTTTATTTGCATCCCTCTGATGATGAGTGATGTTGAACATTTTGTCACATGTTTATTGACCACTTGTTTGTCTTATTTTGAGAAGTGTCTGTTCATGTCTTTTGCCCACTTTTTAATGAGGTTATTTGATATTTGTTTGTTTAATTATTTAGATTCCTTGTAGTTTCTGGATATTAGACCTTTGTCAGAGGTATAGTTTGAGAATATTTTCTCCCATTCTGTAGGTTTTCTGTTTACTCCCATGATAGTCTCTTTTGATGTGCTGAAGCTTTTTAATTTAATTAGGTCCCACTTGTCAATTTTTGTTTTTGTTGCAATTGCTTTGGAGAACTTTGTCATAAATTCTTTCCTAAGGCTGACGTCATTGGTTTGTTTTTAAGCACTTCCTTACAATCTGGTATTACTAGATGCTTTAGGCTCATCTTACATATTTACTACCCTAGACTTTTTCCAAGGAGCTCTATTGTTTTCTGTTAGAAACTAAGATCATACTAGGTTCTCAGTATGCTCATTGCTACTGGGGTATTATTACTTCTAAGCTTTTTTAGAGGACACAACTTGGAAATTTGTTTCTATTATACCCTGTGTATACATACATATTTATAAGTATTTCTATATCTATCAGTTTTTAATCATTATTAAATTAAACATGAGTTTATACTGATGTCTCCAACTTAATTTGGTATTAAAAGGTTCATTCTACTCCTGCTCCTTCGATTGTAAGGGAAAAAAAAGACTTCCAGTATCTACAATTTGTTAATGCGTTTGTTCAGTCCAAGTATGTATACATAGTGGTTTCAGAATTACTAACTCATAGACATATGAGAAACAACTTCACCAACTAGAGTACAGTACTTATGCACAATTCATATTTTCTTCAGTCTTACTGTCTCCACTTTCTCCAAAGTCACTTGGGTGAGCAATTTTTCACCGTAATTCCTTCAGTGATGTCACACATTTGTAATACAATTAAATTATTTTACCACAATTTGCATTCCATCCTGGGATCCCTTGACCTCCCAAGTTACATTTGCATATATTAAATGTTACTTTTTGGATTTAAAGTTCTACATGTTTGACAAATTCAGCATCACACAACAGTTTTACCCTCCTAAAATACAATCTCCTGTGCTTCACTTACACAATGCTCCCTAAAATCCTGGAAACCACTGATAGGTGTTTTGCCTCTTCCAAAATGTGACATAATGGAATAATATGATATGTAACCTTTTCACACAAGCTTCTTTCACTTAGCAATATAAATGAAAAATTTATTAATGTCATTGTGTTCATTTCTTTTTATTACTGAATTTAATTCCATTGTATTGATGTATAACGGGGCGTTTTATCCATTCATCTTCTGAAACACATCTTAGCCACTTTCATGTTTTGGAGATAACTGCTGTAAATATTCAAAGGCAAAATTTTGGTTGACATAAGTTTTCAAACCAGATAGATAAATACCTAAAGGTGCCCTTGCTAGGTTCTATCAGTCGTCTATGTTTAATTGTATATGAAACTGCCAAATTGTCTCCCAAAGTGACTATACCAGTTTGCATTCCCACCAGCAAAAGACAAAATTTCTTGTTGCTCCACATCCTTCTCAGATATCAGGACTTTCTTAAGAACTCTTCCGTCTTTTTCCATGAACATATCAATTTTAATGTATTATGATATTGCCATTACATCATTAATTTTGATGCTCACATTTCTCAGATTTGTCTAGTCAGAGCCCATTTAAGTTCATCCTCTTGCTTTTGACACATATTTAGTATTGACAAGTTTCTAAACAGACAACCGAATGAACTAAACAGCAGCAATAAAAACACAGAGGAAGAAGGTCAGAATCCAGAGTTGCTATGTTGTCTAAAATGTCTAGTTTTCAATAAAAATTCTTAAGACATGAAAAGAAGCCTAAAAGTGTGACTAGTACACAGGATTAAAAAAAGACACTATCTATAAGGAAACCTAGATATTGGATTTAAGGAAAAAGACCTCAAAGTAGCTGTTATAACTATATTCAAAGAAGTAAAGAAAACAATGCTTAAATAATTTAATTGTGATGACAATAACTCAGAAAATAGAAAATCTCAGTAAATATATAGGAATGTTTGAATAAAGAACCAAATAGAAATTTTGGAGTTGAGAAGTACAATAAATGAAAAGAAAATTTACCAGACAGGCTTGAGCCTGACAGAAAAAAAAATGAATCAATAAGCTTGAAATTGCTCAATTAAAATTATTCAATCTTAAAACTAGGGAGAGGCCAGGCATGGTGGCTCATGCTTGTAATCACAGCAGTAAGGGAGGCCAAGGTGCGTGAATCGCTTGAACCCAGGAGTTCAAGAGCAGCCTGGGCACCATAGCGAGACTGATAAGAAAGAAAAGAAAAGAAAAGAAAGAAAGAAAGAAGAAAGAAAGAAAGAAAGAAAGAAAGAAAGAAAGAAAGAAAGAAAGAAAGAAAGAAAGAAAGGAAGAAAGGAAGGAAAGAAGGAAGGAAGGAAGGAAAGAAAGAAAAGAATTAGGAGAAAAAATTATGAAAAATAAAAATTCAGAGATTTGTGAGAAAATATCAAGGATATCAACATGGATGTAATGTGATTGCCAGATAGAAAAAAGGAAGGGCAGAAAAATATTGGAAGAAATGAGGCTTAAAAATGTCCCACATTTGATGTAAATATTAATTTACAGATCCAAGAAGCTCAACAATTCCTACATAGGATAAACACAAAGATATCTAAACCTAGATATACCAAAGTCAAATTGCTGAAAAACAAAGAGAAATTCTTCAATACAGTAGGAGAGAAACAACTCAACATGCTAAGTAATAGCCATGCAATTGATAAATTACTTATAGTTTGAAATAATGAAGGCCGGAAGGCAGTGGGATTTACACATTTCCTGCAGTCTATTTTATAGATTCCTAAGCCAGAAGTTTCATTGCTTCTACAAAAGTATGTTACACTTCCTAATGCCTTTCCTTATATCTTTGGTAATCAGTTAAGGATCTCTTTTTCTCTCTTTCTTTCTACCTATCTCTCTGTATCAGAAAAAAATACATTATTCAACATGCTGATATACTTTTTATCTTCAAGTGTTTAACTTTGTGTTTCAATAATTTGTATTCACTTCAATCAATTATAGCATTTTTTATTGTTAGAGGAGACCTGGATATAGTTAAATATTAGTGTACTCTCTTGAGACCAAATAATGATTGTTGCGTTTGCCAATAAATTCAGAGGGAAAGTGCATTTTTAAAAAAATGTTGAGTTCTAAAGCATAGAGCACATATAAATTGATTTTGGGTGACCAATATGTGAAGTTTTGTGATTTTGAGGTTATCTTGTTCTATGTGGAAGAAATTTTATGAGACAGAGTCCATCCTACCAAAACAGCACAGCAAAAAAATCCTTCACACTGTCTCAAATACCAAAGTATCCCTTTGAGCTATTTTACCTCTTGAACACTAGCCCTAATATTATTTTTAGTCTAATTAACATATAAACAATATTTGGGGCTGCAATTTTTTTGTAATTAAATGTAATTTTTGGCAACTCAATCCTTTGAGAAGGCCTGGAAAAATGTTAACTTGTGTAACTAATGTAAAACTAGGGACTAATTTTCCTATTAGTCCCTAGTTTTTAGTGACTGGGTGTCATGAGTCAAGGTTTCAGCATTCAGCAGGACTACTAGCTGGCTGCTATTTCTATGATCCTCTGATACCCTTTGACCCATCCCAGCCTACAGCTTTCAGGCACTTCCTCTTGTACGCTTCTACCCACATCTCAAACCACAAAACTACTGTTTAAGGCAGACTAAGGTATGAATCAGAGCACTGAGTAGAGTCAATACACCTCTATTTTATTTGGTACCCATAACTCACCTCTGCTCTCTCAAAGCAATAAGAAAATCTTTTCAGGCTACCATGACTTCCCAAGTAGAAGCTAGAGATGAAGAAGCCTGGATTTAGTTTTGTGATTTTTATCTTTTAATAACAGTACATTTGAACAATAAGTACATTTTGAAAGCCTAGGAATCAAACAAGCTAACATTATGGTGATGACTTTTGAAATATGGATTTTAGCCTACATGGCAATTTAATTGCTAGTTAGAAGCAAATCCTGTCCTGTAGCAATAGGGTTAGTCAGTATTTCTCAAAATTCAATACTGAGCTATTGATTCATGGCTGCTATGATATGAAGGCTTGCTGAAATAGCAAGGGTTTCCAGTTAAGGTAATTCTGAGCAATAAAATTGTTTAAAGGAAAAAGCTGTTAAGATAACAAATACATTCAAGTCAAACCAAACCAGACTATTAGGAACTTGAAAATCTGTAAACTTGATTAATAGTGGCTGTGTTGTTTAGATTTGAAAAGTAGGAAAGCCATGCTTTTAAAATGATTTCTTTACTACTGTTTCCAAAAGCAGTTCAGCTACTTGTTGCAATAAATCTGCTGGAAATATTTTTCTGAACAAGAAAATATAATCTCACACATAATAAGACCTAGAGTCTTGACAATAATAAAGGATATATGAAATTAGTATGGACTACATTTATTCAGGCCCAAAATCTTTTGTGTGCCTTTTCCTCTCCCTATGGCTTTGTGAACACGTCTGTCCAACACTGATATTTCTTACAAGTGTCAGGAAGAGAGAAAGTTATTAAATAGGTAAAAATCGCCCTAAATGCCTCAAACTCCTTAAATATATGCCAGTTTTCCTCCATACCTCATACCTACTCAGTATTTATTGCTTTCTTTTCTTATGTTCAAAATCTTTCAAATCTTTATTTTCCTAATTTTTTTGTATCAAGTTAATAAAGAAGATATACTACAGTGTTTTCCTTCCTCATAGTACTTGCATTTTCACCATTAAATACATTTTAAGTGATAAGTGTGATGCTCACCAGAGGTCCTGAATTTGAAAGAAATTTTCCACGTTAATGTTTTTCAATTCAGTGATGTGAGAAAAACAAAATTTCGGCCGGGCGCGGTGGCTCACGCCTGTAATCCCAGCACTTTGGGAGGCCGAGGCGGGTGGATCATGAGGTCAGGAGATCGAGACCATCCTGGCTAACAAGGTGAAACCCCGTCTCTACTAAAAATACAAAAAATTAGCCGGGCGCGGTGGCGGGCGCCTGTAGTCCCAGCTACTGGGGAGGCTGAGGCAGGAGAATGGCGTTGAACCCGGGAAGCGGAGCTTGCAGTGAGCCGAGATTGTGCCACTGCAGTCCGCAGTCCAGCCTGGGCGACAGAGCGAGACTCCGTCTCAAAAAAAAAAAAAAAAACAAACAAAATTTCTAGGACACTTGCATGAAAATGTATGTGGGTGAGGAGGAGAAGGGATTGTCCGGATGTAAATATGACTCCTTGGACAATTATGACACATTTGTTCCACTCCCCACTTTATGACTGAAAAACAGTCACCTGTCTATCAAGTCAACTTAAATCAGTACCATCACCCTTCATTCTGTTGCCAGCCACTTCTGCTTTCACCTACTTTCAGATTCTGTCCCATATCATGAGGAACCTTTGTCAGATAAAGCCCAATAACTAGCATAGGATATGAAGTTGTGTCAAATAACAGGTATTAGAAAATAAGGAACATGCTTCCTTATCTGATAAAATTTATTCCTTTAGGACAATTCTGGTTGGTCTGAGAGTTGATTTCTTCCCTTAGACAGATAGTCTATAGCAGTGCTTCTCAACCTTCAGTGTACATTAGGATCATCTTGAGAGCTTTTAAAAACATCAATGTCTGGCCTCAACCCAAGGATCTTCATTTAATTGATTTAGGAAGAAGCCTGGACATTGATTGTTTTTAAAGTTTCCAGAGTTATTCTAATATGCAGCTGAAGTCTCGAATGTTGAGGCCCCCTCAAAAGCCATAGTGCAAACAATATGTTATTTTATTATAGTTTAAAAAGTAATGTATATTTATTTTGGTGTATTCTTAGGGTTTATTCACATTTAATCTTCTTTCATTTTCAAAATGTGATATATGAAGGTAGTCTGACATATTACAAAAGTGTAAAGGGTTAATTGACTAAATAAGGTCCTCCTATAGGTAGTTCATGCCAGATAGTGAAATCCAACTATGCTATACTATGCTGTGCTATAAATGGCTAGCCGAGGATTCTTTCTAAAAGAATGTATTTTCCTAAAGAGACTTCTCTTGAATTCTGATCCTATAAGAAGTCATCTGAAAGGGTATATTGATCAAATAAGCTGGGAAAATTCTTTAGAACATATGTTAGTTTTGAATATTTTTAATAAGGTTGATTTTTTTTAAAGACAGGGTTCTGCTTTGTCACCCAGGCTGGAATGCAGTGGTGGAATCATAGCTCACTATAACCTCAAACTCTTGCCCTTAAGCAATCCTCCACCTCAGCCTTCCAAAGTATTGAATTATAGGTGCGAGTCACTGCACCAGGTCTGAATTGATTATTTAAAACTGCTCTTTGAAGTCCTCTAGTGAAATAAATCATTTGGGGTAATTCAGCCTGCATTTTCCTAACTCATTTGACTATAAAATATGTTTTGTAATAACACATAGTAATATTTAGCAAATCTTAATCTAAACACATGTTGAAAATCACTGTCCTATATCACACTGTTCTACTTCACATATACAATAAACTGCATTAAAGAATCTTTATAAAATGTTATGAATTAATGATATTTCCTAAAATTCAGAATGCTAGAGAGTGTCTTACTCTCCTACCATCTATAATAAGATAGTGTAAGTTCCAAAAAAATACTCTAATAGTGTTTTTTAACTTATGGAAATGGCTGCAAATCTATTGAATATTTTGTGTTTAAAAATTCACTTAAAGTGTGATCATAATAGAAAAAATACAAATTGGACTTTTTATATTAGATGAGATCACAAACATTTATGTTTCCATCTATATATTACTGATGGCAGTGGCGGCCTATCAGGAGCGGCCGCTGTGTAGTCACCAGCTGCTACAGGTGAGGCACCTCCAGGGCTGTGAGCTCCATGTGCGCTCCACTGAGTCTGCAGGAGCTGGGAACAGATAGGAGACCCGCTTTCTTCTGAGTTGGCGGAGAGGGAGCCCTGCCTCCTGGGAGCAGCTGCAGCTGCCCAACCATACATTGCTGCATTCCCACAGGGTCTCGGAATCCCTCCCTACCCCTAGGGGCTAGGAAGTGCTGCTCTGGCTACCTGGCCTCTTCCTGCTCCCTGTGCCTGCTTTGATTTTGCAAAGTTGAGGCTGAGCCTGGGCACTGTCATGATCTGGCTGGATGTGTACTCACTCAGGGCGGCACTGACATGCCAGCCCCCTGCTGCTTAGGCCCCCTCCAGGCTTTGGGTGCTGACGAGCACAGGAGGGAGGTAAAGAGGGTGTTGAGGGCATCTTGGCAGGGACCTAAAGGCACTACTCTCCATGAACAACATGACTGATGGCAGCAGGAGGCAGACAGGCTCCTGGATGGAAAGTGGTAGGTCCCCGGTGAAGCCCCACCTTCAAGCCAGGGACAGCCGGAGGCATGGGAGCTTGGCTGTCAGTTCTGGGTGGAGTCCACAGCCTAAAGTGAGAACTTACGGAGATTTTTACAGGCCCACCCGTGGCCACAATGGACCAATCAGGACTCACTTCCTCTCTTCTGAAGCACATAAAACCCCCTGGAATCAGCCATACTCACAGAAACATCAGGACTACCAGTTATGGGAAGGAGCTAACCAGTTTGGATCTCTTCCACTCATAGTGATGACCTGCCTGCAGAAAAGACCTCCCCACTCTGGATCTCCTCTCCACCGAGACCTGGACATTCATTGGGATGACCTGCCTGTGGAAAGGAGCTACCCACCCTGGGTCTCCTGAGAGCTGGTCTGTCACTCAGTGAAGCTCCTTTCTGTCTTGCTCACCTTCCAGGTGTCTGTGTACTTCATTCTTCCTGGATGTGGGACAAGAATTTGGGACCTGCCGAATGGTGAGACTGAAAGAGCTATAACACACACACGGCTGAAATGCCCCCACTCACCCCATGTATCGTGATATGGGTGGCATGAAGGAGAGAACAGGTGCAGCCCTTTGGGGAACCCAGATCTGGGGGAACCCTGCCTGTGACAACCTCTTTGGGGCTCTGCCATTCCTGGTGTCTCTAAGCTTCCAGGCTCCACCGCGTTCCCCTCGTTCAGACACAGGTGCCCACAGTGGAAGCCATGTGCAGTACATATGGTTCAGCACAGCCTCACACAGAGCTGGAACCTGTGTGAGCACCTGGAGCTGCCCTCCCTGCCACAGCAGCCAGCATGCCTGACTGTGCGCAGTAGCCAGACCCTGTGGTTGCTCACCCACACATCCCTCATTGCTTTGCACTTGGCTTGCCCTTGGCAGGTGCGGGATCTGGGCTGGTAGTGCAAGCCAAGTGCAGCCTGCCAGGCTGAGTGGGTTGAATGAGCCCAGTGGGCACGAGAAATATTCAGGCAGAAGGTGCCACAGCCACAGAGGTTTCTGGATGGTGAAGTGATACCCCAAGGGTCCAGTGACATTGCTATGTAAACGCTAATTTATTTTACCAATTTCTGTTAAGTACTGTTAAAGTTTAAGTACATTTTTGGCATTTCGGTGTTTTCTGCTACACTCAACTTTAAAATATTTCTATGTAGCTTCAGTTGAGCATTCAGTTCAAAAGAATCATACAACTAGAAAGATAGATATAGTGCCTTTTCTTTTTGTAATGAAAGCATGCTGAATAGTGATGCCCATGTTGCCCTTTGCCTAATAGAAGACCCTATTGATTCATATTTGCTCAATCATACATTTACGTGGAGACTGTTATCATAGTGTGTGTTCTACAGATGGTAACTTAAAAGCGCACACATGCACACACACACACACACACACACACACACAATGTTTACCTTTCATTAACCACTTATGTTTATTGGATATATAATGAATTTAACTGCATATTCTGTAGCTTTAAAGTCTGTCTTTTAGATTTACATTTTTGGTTTTGTTCTCATTTGTTAAGATATTGGCCTATGTCATGAATCATGGCCAAATCTATGTATGTATCGATTTTCTATTTTAAGGGTAATTTCCATTTTAAAATCATCACCAAATAATTTTTCTTTATTATCCTATGTGCTTCTGGGTGTTTCTCTCTGACATTAATTTAATTCAATGATTATTTTTTCATGATAGGGTAATAATAATTGAGAAATCATGGTTAGTCATAAGGGAATGCCTTCTGAAGGAACGCTGAAATCCTCCTATGGGTTATCTAATATTGGCTATACATAATGTTCATAGATTCATTTTCAAAACACTTAGCAAAGTGTTCAAAACGCTTAGTAATTGGCTGTTTTGCTTTATTCATACTATAATACCTGTTTATAATAGATGGGAAATCTCATGTTTTAAATATGAGTTTCTTTTAGCAGATTTGTATTCATATAAACAACCGACAATCATTAGAGAATGACAGAAATTTTGTGAAGAAATAATGCAGGAAGTAAATGCATAAATATTTCTAAGCTATTGGTAATTCTTGTCATGTTATCCCCTATTTTTAGGAACCTAAAGTAAACTCACTGAAATGAAACAATAAGATACAATGTCATGTTTCTTTCCCTTGGACATTTTCAACAGCAGGAGGTATCCAATGATTGTCAGGTGGCTTTTGTCACTGATGAATACCAACGAAGTAAAGAATTGTAATTTAAGCTAAGTTTGGTTTCTAGAGACCTAGTTTAAAAATTCTGAAACCACTCATTTTATTTTGCTATACCCCTAACTTCAGTACCTTCCTCAGTTGCCTCTACTTTTCTTTTCAGGACTTTTCTTTTCATTAGCAGGCTCAACTAAGTATTTTTCATTGATTTTTTAAATTTGGTCCTACAGTTTGATATCTTTAAAAGTTACCCAAACTCTTCAAAGCATAAAACATCCCCATTAATGAGGCAAATTAACCACCTCTATAATGGTTTATTTTGCCTTTATTTGCTTCAACTTTTACCATGAAAATATTAATTAGATATCTAATCAGTTAAACAAAGAAAAAAATTCTAGTGACAAAATGTGGTCTTCCATTCACTTAAGACTTCAGGATATAAACTTACATGGCAATAGAAACAAGAAGCCTTTTTGTTGAAAGGGAAGTTAGCCTAGTATTCTAAAATTGAATCTTCCAATATCTATGTGCCACTGAAAATGGTGATTTTAATTTTCTAAGAGGAAGTTCCTTCCTTTGTAAAATGATGTAGTTGAATTTGATAATTACTGAGGATTTATTTCTAAAAGGCATATCAACTCAGCATCTAATATAAAATATGCATTTAAAATACATTACAAAGTTAATTTCTACTTAGAATTTAGAACTAAAGAATTCAAGTAAGAAGCTACTTATCAGAAAGCTACAAATAATGTAGAACTGCATTTCTAAAATATCTTAAGCCAGACATAACGCAGTTTTGTCCTAGTATAATTATGTTTACTTGATGCTCATGTGTTTGAAGAGTAAAGCTAATGTACAGCAATACTTCCTGGACACATACAACCTACCATGATTGAACCAAGAAGAAATAAAAATCTAATAGACCAAAACAAGTAATGAGATTGAATTAGTAATTAAAAGTCTTCCAACTTAAAGTCAGAGACTGGATGACTTCATTGCTAAATGCTACCAAATCTCTAAAGCAGAATTAATACTAATTCTTCTCAAACTATTCCAAAAAATTGAAGAGGGGAAAATTCTTTCTAACATCCTATGGGGCCAGTATAACCCTGGTACCTAGCTCAGATAGAGACACAACAGGAAAAGAAAACTACAGGCCAATGTCTCTGATGAACCTAGAAACAAACATTTTCAACAAAATGCTAGCAAACAGAATCCAACAATACATCTAAAAGGTAATACACTATGATCAAATGGGATTGTCCTAGTAATGCGAGGATGGTTTAACATATGCAAATAAATAAACGTCATACATCACATCAATAGGATGAAGGACCAAAACCATATGATCATCTCAATAGATGCAGAAAAAGCTTTTGCTAAAATTTAATATCCTGTCATGAGGAAAACTCATAATAATATAGAATAATAATATAGTCCTCAATAATAAAGGCCATATATGACAAACCCACAGCTAACATCTTCCTCAATGGGACAAACCTAAAAACGTTTCTTCTAAGAACTGGAGCAAGACAAGCATGTCCACTCTCACCACTCTTATTCAACATAGTACTAGAAGTAGTAGCCAGATAGTCAATGAGGCAAGAAAAAGAAACGAAGGGCATACAAATAGAAAAGGGGGAAGTCAAATCATCCCTATGTGCAGATTACAGGATCTCATACAAAGAAAAACCTAAAGTCTCAGCCAACAAACTCTTAGAACTGATACACAAATTCAGTAAAGTTGTAGTATACAAAGTTAATATGTAAACATTAGTAGTGCTTCTACACAAGAACAATGAACTAGCTGAAAAAGAAATCAAGATGATAATCCCATTTATAATAGCTAAAACCAAAAAATAAAATATTTAGAAATGAATTTAACCAAAGGGTGAAAAATACCTCTACAAGGAAAACTACAAAATCCAGATGAAAGAAATTGAGGAAAATACAACCAAATGAAGACATCCTATGCTCATCAATCATAATAATTAATATTGTTAAAATAACAATACTACTCAAAGCAATCTGCCGATTCCATGCAATTTGTATCAAAATACCAATGACATTCTTCACAGAAATAGAAAAAAATCCTAAAATTAGTAAAAAACACAAAAGAACCTGAATATAGCAATCTTGAGAAAAAAAAAAAAAGCTAGAGTTATCAAACTGCCAGGCCTCAAAATGTACTGCAAACTATTGTAACCACAACAGTATGTTACTGGCATAAAAACAGAGACACAGACCAATGGAACAGAAAAAATAACCTAGAAATTAATCCTCATATCTATAGACAACTGATTTTTGACAACAGTGCCAAGAACACTCTTTGAGGAAAGAGCAGTCTCATCAACAAATGATGCTGGAAAACTGGGTAGTAATATGCAGAAGAATGAAACTAGACACCCACATCTCACCCTATACAAAAACCAACACAAAACTGTTCAAATACCTAAATGTAACACCCCCAAAAATAAAACTACTGAAAGAAAACATAGGGGAAATGCTTCAGTACATTGGTCTGGGGATAGATTTTATGAATAAGACCTCAAAAGGACAAGCAACAAAAGCAAAAATAATTAAATGGGATTATATTTAACTAGAAATCTCTGCACAGCAAAGGAAACAAGCAACAGATTGGTAATAAATCCTATAGAATGGGAGAGAATATTTGCAAACTACTCACCCCAAAGAAGATCCATATCCAGAATATACGAGGAATACAAACATCTGGCCAGCAAAAAAAACAAATAATCCAATTTTAAATTGGGCAAATTATCTGTCTGAACTGACATTTCTCAAATGAAGGCAAACAAATGGGCAACAAATAAATGAAAAAATACTCATCCTGGAACCAGTGGCTCATGCCTGTAATCCTAGAACGTTGGGAGTCTGAGACAGATGGACTGCTTGAGCTCAATAGTTCAAGACCAGCCTGGGCAACATGGTGAAACCCCATCTCTACAAAAAATACAAAAATTAGCCTGGAGTGGTGGCATGCACCTGCAGTCCCAGCTACCTGGGGAGTTGAGGCAACAGGATCACTTGAGCTGGGGCGGTTGAGGCTGCAGTGAGCTGAGATTGTGCCACTGTACTCCAGCCTAGGTGACAGAGAAAGACCATCTTAGAAACAAAAAACCCTCAACATCGCTAATCATCAGGAAAATCCAAACCACAGTGAAGTATCATCTCACTTTACTTAAGATGGCTGTTACGAAAAAGACAAAAAGCAAATGCTGGCAATGATGCAGTGAAAAGGAAACACTTATACACCATTGGTGGGATTGGAAACTAGTACAGCTGATATGGAATTTCCTCAAAAAACTACAAATAGAACAACCATATAATCCAGCAATGTTGCCACTGAGAATGTACCCAAAGGAAAAGAAATCATTCTATCAAAGAGAAATCTACACCCCCATGTTTATTGAAGCACTAGTCACAACAACCAAGAATTGGGATCAGGCAAGGTGTCCAACAACAGATGAATGGATAAAGAAAATGTGGTATATATACGCAATTGAAAAAGAAAACAAATGACAACCTGTCATTCTGGGCAACAAGGATAGAACTGGAGGACATTATGTTAAGTGAAATAAGCCAGGAACAGAAAGTTAAACACCACATGGTTTCACTTATCTGTGGAAACTAAGAAAAGTCGATCTCATAGAAGTAAAAAGTAGAACAAAGAACACTTACTAGAGGCTGGGAAAGCAAAAGGAAAGACAGACAGGGAGAGATTTGTTAATGGGTACAGAATTATAGCTAGATAGAACGCATAAGTTCTTGTATTTTATACCACTGCAGAATGACTATAGTTAACAATAATGTTTTAAATAGTTTCAAATAGCTAGAAGGAAGCTAGTGAACAATCCCAACATAAAGAAATGATAAATATTTGAGATGATGGAAATGCTAATTGCCCCATCTGATCACTATACATTTTATGCACTGAAACATCTCTATGTACCCCATGAATATTTATAGTTATTTGTCAATTAAGAAATAAAATACAAACAAATGTATTTGATTCAATATACCTTATTATCCTTCAGAATGCAGTTTACCCAACATTTTTCCTTCTTTTTTTCTTTGTTTCTGTTTTTTTCTCCTCCCCCTTTTCCATTTCTTCCCTCCATTCACTTCCTTTATGTTCACTTCAGAAATATTTTACCAACAAAATACCAAGTTAGAAGTCAAAAAGTAATCACTTATTATTTGCTTTCGTGGTTTTTTTTTTTTTTTTTTTTTTTTTTTTTTTTTTTTTTGGTGAGGCTTTGGACAAAATAAGAATTCCACAATGAAAGTAGAAAATAAGGTAATTCTATCTATTCTCACTTTTACATCCACTACTACAGTGTGAATACGAAATCTTATCTGTCTACCAGATAGTTAATTTTCACATTTAACCTTAGTGAATTTGAATGAACTTTTGAAACTAGAATGTATCAAATGAAATTAAGAAACAATTTTGAAATATAACAGAAGCCTTCCTCTTCCTGGCTCCCACATAAGGATGTTATTCCACTTAAAAATAACCAGTTAATCAATCATATTGATATTGGGAATGTTTGCATATCAGTGTGTAGGACATTAGCTAGTCTACGAGTAACTTAATCTAATAAATGTGCAGGCAAAGTGTGAAGAATAAAAAGTGACAAAAATTGGGTATTTATACAATTCTGCCATAATGTAGCTAAAGTCTCAGGAAAGTCATTTAATCTCTTTGGCCTAATTTTCTACTTTGTAAAATGATTTTCTTCTACATTGTGCAGTAATGTGTAGTTATCATTAAGTAAATTAAAATATAAAATATCCCATTAGAAATCTTAATCTAGTATTTTACCTTTTTGACATTCCTTCTTATGCGAAGAAAAATAAAACCAGAGAAAATTAGGGGAAAAAAGAAAAGAAAAAATTTATTGAATACTTTCATGTGTCTAGGCATCTTTATTTATTGTTTCATTTAATTCTCATAACTACCTTAAGTGGTAAATATTATCTGAATTATAAGGTTGAGGATTTTGTGGCTTTACCAGGTAATTTGGCTAGTATATAATTGATTGATGCAGGTATATACATTGTGAGACTCTCATTCAAATTTTATTTGAGCAATGTGATATTAAATGTGAACACACTCTACCTTTCTATTTCCCAACCAAACATCTCTTCCCTTCCACTACAAGTAAGCAGAAATTCTCTGAAAATAACACACTATTACTGGCAGAAACTGTGTGTTAAGTATATAGCAGCATCTTTTTATGTCCCCAAGGACTTCACACACTTGTGTCACCTTGTTCTTGTTCTTTGAGAAGTTTGTAGTTCTTTTCCTATATTTATACCTCTGACTTATACTTTCTAATTCTGCTACTTAAAAAAAATCTCCTTAGTGTCACATATTGTTTTTTAGTTATTTTTTTAACTCACTGGAGAGAAGGGAACAATTATCCCCATTCTTTGGTAAGGTAAAATAATACATCAAGATCTAAATATTTGTTTGCTTTCATTGGCAATGAGAATGTTCTTAATGGCATTTAACTGTGGTTTGATTGGCTCTCATTACCACTTATTTAATATTTTCTCCCAAATCCTAGGGTATTTTGTATCCTCTCCTTAAGGTACATGAAAGCAAACAGCATTCACCTTAATCTATTCAACTATATTTCACTGAACATAGACTTATTGTCTTGTACTGTACCTTAGAAGACTAATTTAGATTTTGAAAAAATAAAATATATCCATATCTGTAGCATTTTAATTTTCTATTTCTTATTACATAAGCACAAGGCATATATTCTCAGGAAAGTAATAGACCAAAAAGGAAAACTAATCTAAACTAGCAATAAAGTAGTTAATTCTCTTCCTGAAGAGAGTATATACAAATGACCAAAATAACAAATCATTGACCAAATTTTATAGTGTGTTGTATATCTTATAGTCAATGGTGATTTGCAAATAAATGTTTTCAGAGCTAAATTTGTTTCTGTTTGTACTTGATATAATAGATTGTGGCACACAAAGAAAATGAAGTGTGATACACACTTTGAATTGTGTATGTGTGGTTGTGTACACATTAGGGAAACACACACACACACACCCCCACAGGGACACAGACACACATATATTTCAAAGCAGTTGGCAGCTCTGTTCCAAAATACAGGTTGCTATGTGTTAATTTTAAAAACGTTAGAACTTTCATAGAGAGTCAATGTAGTGTTATTGCAACATCTAAAAGAGTTTAGGAAATATTGTACATCAGAGACCTTTATGTGCATTTATTCACTCTAATCTCCCACTGATCAAAACAAATAACCCCAAACTAATAAGGTAGCGTTAACTATGAGAGAGAAAAATTCTAAAAATAATATAATTGTTCTGCAAAGATTTGAATTTTCATGGAAAAATTTCATACTTTTTAAAATAAAATGTTTAGTTGATATCTTTTTCATAAAATGCGGACAATTCTATGATAAACTTATTGTATTCATAATTCCTTATTGAGTAATGTCTATTAATTATTTCTCTCATCAGTGGATAGACCAAAATGTATACACTTGAGAAAAAAGAAATTTATAATTTAGACAATTGGTAAATATTTTTGCTCAGTTTTTGAGCATATTATAAAATATTAAAATGGTTCTTATCTATGAAGTATATGTGTTAAAAAAACACTTAATTTAATAAATCGGGGAAGAATCAATTTTAGATTTAAACAAAATTTAATGAGAAGTTTTAATAGCTATAATTAACAATTAAAACTTTAAGAATACAATGACATAGAATAATCAAATATTTTCTTGCAAAAAAGCATATGATCCAGAGCAACTGACTACTGTACAATCCTAGCATTTTAAACAAAAATAGTGACTGTAGCTTATAGGTATCAGAGAAACATCTTGTAATTTAGTTTAAAAGTTACAATGAGAAGATAGCATGAGAAAAATCTACCAAGAGAACTAAACTTACTTTTTAAACTTAAGCTAATTAGCATATAAGTTATACATTGCCACAATGTCAATATATGAAGACACTAAAATAAAAATAAATAAAAGTATTTTAGTGAAAATACTAAAATAAAAATAAAATTCATTCTGAGCCCTTATTTAAATTACATAAAGGTGAACATAGCCTATGTACATGTATGATTGTGTGCCCCTCATTTTACAAACATAAAATTAAAAACTGGTAGTACCATCACATCTCAAGGTGAGCAGGCACTGGCAAAATTTGCATTATATTTTAGTCATATATCACATTATAAATGCCCAGACAAAAGAAACAGAAGAAAAAACAGAGTATTGGGGTTGCAAATATCATCAGGAGATGCCCAGAAATAAATATAATGTTACTTAAGCATACCATTTAGCATCATATAGATAATTATTTTAATACTTTTCTCAAAAGTCACTAAAAATATAGAACTTAAGTCAAAGTACTGAATATACAGCACTCTTGCAAAGCAGTAGCTGCTTATGTTAACTTAATTCTTATATGTTGTTGCTAAATATGCTTAATAATATATTATTTATTATTATTTAGATTTAACTGTGCAAGTTTTTATACCTTATTTTTTTCTGATTTATTGTTTTGCATGTTGTTTCTTTAAGATATGATAAGAATAGAATATAATAGTGTATCATAGAGTGCAATGCTATTTCTATAATTGGGTTGGTATCATTTGTATAGATATGTTACTTGAAAGTAGACCAGTAGAGTTCAGCTCTACTTACCAGCTACGTAGAGCAAGTCATTAATTGCTCTGAATATCAATTTTATCATATGTAAAATTGAGTTAATAATAAGATTAAAAACTACCACATAGGGTAAACATACAGATGGCAAGAAGATATGCAGATGGCATATAAGAACATAAAACGATGTCCAACATCATTTGTCATTAGGAAATGCAAATTAAAACCCCAAAGAGACATAGATAAAAAACTGCTCATCTATCTGAATAGCTAATATGGAAAAAAACTGACAACAACAAATGCTGGTGAGGATGAGAAATAACAAGGACTGTCATTCACTGCTGATGGAATGATGAAGTGGTAGAGTGGTAGAGCCACTTGAGAAGAGAGTTTGGCAAATGTTTATAAAGTTAAACAAGCACTTACCATTCAACCAGCAATCACAATATTAGTTATTTATCCAAGGCATTTTAAAACTTATATTCTCAAAACATTCTGAATGGGAATGTCAATGGCAGCTTTATCTGTAATAGTCAAAAACTTGAACCAAGCGTTGGAACTCAGAACCCTTATGTGTGACACTTTGGCATGCTGAATATTTTGCACTGAACATGACTGGAAAGCCTCAGAAGCAAGAAGTTCTTTCTAAACTTTTCCCACTCTCCATTCTCCTTTCCTGTTTCTCCCCCTAAAAATGGTAATAGAAAGTAGAATTTCTCTTCCCTAAGTCAAATTATAGAAACTAGAACTCCTCTCCCATAGTGCAAACCATAAAATGTAAACATGCCACTCTGACTTATTTCCTTTGAAAGTAGGCCACAGACCCTCATTCCAGAAGGGTTCTTCCCTATACTGGTGTGGGACTGGGGGAGGAATGCTACACAGAGAACCCAGTAATAATCTGAACAAACAGACTTTCCTATGGTCCCCCCAGTTTGTCACCATTAGATCATACCCTTTTTGCCCAATCACATTTCTACATGGATGTCCATTCTTCATTAAATCTAAATTTAAAAATAGAGTTTTCCCTGAGCCTTTGGGTCTTTATTTTCGAAGGCTCCATATTACATAAAGCTTTGTTAAATAAATTTGTTATGCTTTTATCTTGTTCATCTGTCTGTCTTAGGAGTGTTGGCCATGACTCTTGTGATGGGTGAAGAAAATATATTATACATTTTGCATCTATACAAGGTATATGTCCTTCAATAAGTACATTGATAAACAAACCATGGTTGAGCCATATAATGGAATGCAATTTAAAGATAAAAGGAATGAGCTATTCACTCATGCAACAAAATGAATGAATGTTTAATACAGTTCACTAATTGAAATAGGATACACCCAAAAGCTGGCATATTTCCTGATTCCATTGCATGATATTTTGGGAAAAGCAAAAATAATAGAGACAGGTAGAAATTGTAGAAGACAAGGATTTCGGGAAGGAAAGAGCTGTTGAATATGAGAAAATGTATAAGAAAAATTTTAGGGCAAAGAAACTATTTTTTATGGTACTGGAATAGCGGATACATGGTTTCACGCATTTGTAAAAACCTATAGAATTGTACATCATAAAAAGTGAATTCTAATTTATGCTGGGGTTTAGTTAACAGTAATGTACCCATGTCAGTTTCCTAATTTTGACACATGTTGTATAGTAATGTAAAATGCTAAACTAGATGAGAGATGTTTGGAAATCTATGTTCTATCTTTGCAAATTTTTCTGTGAATGTAGAATATGTAAAATTGTGTAAATGTATAAAGAGCATATTTCTCATAGAGTTGTTGAGGGGAGTAAATCAGTTATATATACAAATCATGTGGAACAATACTCAAGATAGAAACATTTAGTGTTGGCTAATGGAAACATTTAGTGTTGGCTAAAAGAAAAGTCTGGCCTTTTCTTTTCCACTTATTTTTCTACAAATGCAACCCCTTTCTTTGCTGTGGGTAATTATTCATGTATTTTGCACTGGACTGAGTACATATTTTCCCTTCCCTCCACCTCCAGTAAAAGTAGTGGCATAGGTGCCACATCTAGCTAATGAGATAACCCCACTCTCCAGTCTCAATGATTATTTCAAGCAAGGGCAATTATCCAACCCAGAACTTAAAGAACTTGTGACCTGTTGGGGAAGAAACGTTATTTTCTTTTAATATAGTTCATTTTGTAGGATGTGAGCATGTGACTCCTAGCAAGCCATTTGCGACTAAGTGAGTAGAGCTTTACTGAGAGTAGGTTCATATGGAGGTAAGCAGAAATGGAGAAAAAATATAAACCATGATGCTATTTGACTGTATTCCTGCATCCACTCATAACTGGGGCTACAGCCTTCCTTTCACAGTTCTAATAATTTATGCCAATACATTAACTGTATTGCTGTGGCTGCTATAAGTTGAGATTCAGCCACTTGCAGTAGTAAAATGAGTAGTACCTACAGTTTTAATTGCTTGTGGTTGGACAATGTTAGCTTTATATGACCTTGAGAAGAGATTAATTAACTGGTACTAAGGGTAGGAAACAATGAAGTCAAAAGTGGCCACATTCATCAATCAATCAATGATTGAAATGTTTATTCAGGCAATCAATGTATATTCAGTAACTTCATTTTAGAAATTAATAACAATTGCTGTGAACATATCGGAAGCAAGAAACAAATAATGTAACTACAAGGAGGCATAGCATATAGCTGAACAATGCACTTTTTGAAGAAAACAAAGAAAATTGATTGTTTTTTCCCTCCATTAGAAAATAATTAGCAAAAAACCTCAAAAACAGAAACTATGTAGAAAAGAATATTTTCAAAATGCAATGAGAAAAAAATTCTGATAATCAGCTGTTTAAGTAACCAGAACAACAACAACAATGAAACGGTGATATTTCCTTTCCATCTGTTATAGAAAAAGGAAAAGTCATGGCAATGAAGGAATTATTCTAGCAATGCAAGAATAATGCAGCATTAGAAAATCTGTCAGTAAAACTCATTACACAGGCAATAGAAAGGATGAAATCCATGATTATTTTAATTGGTGCCAAAAAGAACAAATTAAGAATAAAAGAAAGCTTTCTTAACTTAAAAAAGATATTAGTAAATATGGCATTTAAAGGTCAAGCCAAAAAGTGGTTCCATTAAAGTGTAAAATTTAGAAATGCCTCTTTTATATTTTAGTGAGAGTTTCAGCCAATTCAATAAAACAAGAAAAATAAATGAGAGATGAAAACATTTGCCAATATTATGTAAACTTTATTATTGCACAAAATCTGATCTTTTAACTATAAACCCTAGGATAATTTAAAAAACCGAGAACTAGAAAAAGTCTCGTATGTGTTGGATATAAGATATCACATATAAAAATCAATGTTTTTCTAAAATTATAACTTAAAAACCCCCAGAAAATCTAATAGAAAAATGCCATTATGATAGTTAAAATAATTATTATACTTAAAATAAAACTAATAAGAAGTCTAAAAAACTTTTATGAATGTAAAATTTGAAAACCAGAGATCATTATTGAATTCCATAAAATATAACAAATAAATAGCTATACATGAGAAGTATCAATTTTAAAAGTCTGGGAACATACTGAAAACATCAATATAATATTTAGAGTAAGAAAGCTTTTCATAACAGAAAAATATAATATGGAAATATTAGATGATATAAAATTTATTGTCTATATGTTAAATTACACCAGGAAATCTTTAAATCACAAAAAAGCAGATATTTGTTTCAAGAACATATAAAGAATTAATACAATTCAATAAGTGAAAGATAAAAAAAGCATTTAAGTAAAGGAGCAAACTTATGATATTTACAGAAAGTATTTATAAGTGGCTCATAAACCTATAAATATATTATAACATTATGTATTTATGAAATACTAAGGAACAGTTTTAAAAAATGAGGGAAATGTCCATTTACTAACATGAAAAGATTGATAATATAAAGACTGCTGGCACATGTATACATATGTAACTAACCTGCACATTGTGCACATGTACTCTAAAACTTAAAGTATAATAATAAAAAAAGGAAAAAAAAAAAAACAAAAACAAACAAACAAAAAGACTGCACATTTCAGAATTATGCAATGGAATATAATGTCTGTAAAAAAGCAAAAGTAAACATAGAACATGGCATTCTACATTGTCAATGTGTGTGTTATGTGTGTATGTGTGTGTGTAAACATATTGTCAATATGTGCATGTTTTGTGTATATGTGTGTGTGTGTATACACATTATAAAATGTTTCAAACACTGCACACCAAACTAATGAAAGCAGGTGTCTCTGAGGAATAATACAGCATGGGGATGCGACAAAAATTCAAAAATAATTTTCAAGGCAAACTTAGCATTATTTGTTATTCAAAGACTTTAATTTTCTTCAGTAAAATGACATTTATAATTTAAAAAAATTAACTAAATATGTTGTTGTTTTTTAGAATATGAGTTCATGCAATTAGATAATTTTTTTTCACTCCTTAATCCCTGGGCTAGAAGAGTGCTGAGCATAGGATGGGAGCTTAAGTATTTTCCACATGAATGAATAAATAAATAATGAGCATGGAAAAATAAAAGAAACAAAAAAATGCATAGAAGAACAGCTTGCTTGAATTATCCTTAAAAAAGGTAGAAGAGCTTGTCCTCTTCCTTTTTCCCTTTTGTCAGGGTTCAAGAAGAAACACAACTATGAAAGCAACAGTTGGGCTGGGATGAGCAGACAGTGGGTGTGTTGGGAAATGGGTTACATACAGAAGAGTAAACAACTAATAAACATTGTGTGGATAATGGGGCCAGGTTTTTCTTTGTTAGAAGAGGATTTACAAATATAGAAAGAAATGACAGAAAGAACCTATGGCATTAGACTGGAAATAGACATACAGTTGTGAACTTATGTTCTTGAAAAAAATAAATGGATATAAAGATGTAGAAATCAATACAAACATATATATATATATGTGTGTATGTGTGTGTGTGTGTGTCTGTATATGTGCCTCTGTATCTCACACACACAATTATATATGCATTCCATTTGTTCGTCAACTGAGAAGACACAAGGAGCAGTGATTCTTCAGGAGAATAAGCACACTAGGGACTCAGATCTTGGTTTCTCGGTACCATCGTTAACTGAAAAACTAGGGCTCCTTGGGAAAATGGTAAGTATTAAGACTGAGGCAGAACAAGAAGACAAACCTGGAAAATCTTATTGGGTGAGAAAGCAAAGAGTTACTACAAGATTGATGAGGGGGTGACAATAGGACACAGGAGTCAGTCTTAAATGGCTCTCTCTGGCCAAAACTGATGCAATTTTAGCGTAAAATATCAAAAATAGTGAATTAGCATTCAATGAATAAAATGTCAAGCTAGGAGTTCAGACAACTATAAATAACATATAAATAAATAGGGAGGAAGATAAAGCTCTTCCTTAGAGTACAATACCAACTAAATAAATTTAAAAGGAATGATGGAAATAGAAAATCATACTTTGGCAACTCTCATTTTGGTGGTTAATTCAGAAAGAAGTCATTAATGAATGCTAGATCTGGTGGTTACAGATTTGATGAAAAACAGGTATTGCATATGAAAAATAAATGATAGGACTTTCTTAGGAGTATCCCCCACATAGAAGTTATCAAAAGGCAATGAAAAATAAAACACGAAAGACCTATATTCTCTGCAGCTGTCAAATTCATGATGGACAAAGAAAGATTGAGAAACTGTAGCAGACTGAAGGGGACAAAAGAGACAAGAAAACTTATCCTATCCAGGTTCCTAGACTAGAAAGCAACAATACAGATTGTTGGGACAGTTAACAATATTTAATGGAGGTATATAAACTGGATGCTAGCATTGCAATAATTCTCATATTTGAATTGTTGCATTGCAGTTGTTTTGTGGTAAAGTAGTAAAATGTCTTTTTTTCTAACATGCAAACAGGAGTATTTAGGAATAATGAGGGATTGTGTCTACACGATGCTCCCAAGAGAGACAGGGTGATGGAGCAAACATGGTAAAATGCTAACAATTGAGGAATAAGAAAGAATCAAAACAAGAGGTCTTGTGAGCTCTTTGTACCATTCTTGCAACTTTTCTGCATGTGGAATTGATTTTAAATAATATATTAAAATACATTTAAAAGATAGAATTGGTAAAAAGATAAGTTAAAGAAAAATAAGGTGTGCAAATTTTAAAAAGACATGAAAGATAGGATTCATAGAATAAGCTAAATGATATATACTGTGTGCTTATGATTATGTTAAGGCCCATAAGATAGTGGAAGAAAAATATATGGTCTTCTCTAAAAAATCTTCCACTGTTGGTAAGGAAGTAAAATGAATTTGATGTTAATTGATATACTTTGAAATTCTATATTTTCACTGTTACCCACTTTCTTATTATTTGTCTTCTATGATAAATATTTGGAGTAATTTGTAATAATATATGTTATTAAAGAAACAAATTAAATTATAAATTAAAATAAATTATAACATATACAATATGATATATAGTTATATAATATTTAAGTTATAAAATAAAAAGAATCAGGGAAAAAAGTAGCTAAAGAATGTATACAAATAAAATGTAATTTCGTAGATCCTATGGAATATGTCATTTAGAGCCTGAGATAAAGTCCATGGTTGAATATTAAAGGATTCAATTTTGAATTTTGAATTTTGAATTTAGATGTTTTAACATTTAAAATAGCTTCAGTTGAAGGAAATTCTCGGGAAAGTTTTGGAAGCTAACTGGAAATAAGATTAGAAATGGCCAGCTTACAGGTACCTTGACAATGAAGTTTGATTTAATTAAAAGAAATATGGTATCACAATAACCCTGAGATATAAAAATACAAGTCAGATTCCTGAAACGGTTGCTATGGAAGCAAAGGATACTGTTCATCCTTTCAGTCCTTTTAATGCAGAGGTGCCTTATATTTCTCACCTCTGGGCTCCTAGTTTTTTTCAGCATCTCATTAGAATTATTTAATGGAAGTATGTGGCAGGCATATGATTTTGAAAATTGGACTGTTTACAAATGAATTTCTTCCTCAGTTTGCCTGTCTAATTGTAGCAAATGGAAGAGTATAAGTTTTACAGTCATGTCTTTATTGCATATGAAGTTACTTTTCTGCCTATTCTTTTTGCTTCACCTGCACAAAGCCAAAGTAAAGAATACAATGCACAGAATTTCCATATGTAAAGGCCGCTTCAATTACTATTAATACTTGTGTTTAAATTTACTTTGTGTAGAAAAAGAATGTCTGCTTGTTGCACAGTGCTCCTTTTTAAGTTCCTAAAAGATTAGAATTGCAGTGCAACTGCCCCTGTCATTTATGTCTCACTTTTATGTGTTGCTGCTTTTATGGAGTGCTAAATTGCTTAATTAAATTTTACTGGTTTATTCTGCTTGCTCATTCATATCCTACTTAATCCAGCCTACGACATTTTCTTCCTTTAAGTGAACATATGACACCTCACAATATAATTTTAGAGGTACATTTGGGCTGTGAAAATGGCTAAGTGGTTTAATAATGTAAGGTGCTATTTGTTGAAAAAAAAACCTGAATACTCCATGCAAGTATCAAAGTCATAAGCAACGTCAGTATGTTGGGTTTAACAAAGCTCTTGGAGGCATAAATATGGGTTAAATGCCTACTTTTATTAGGTGTCATTATAGTTTATTTCTATACTTTTTTTTCCAATCTTACACAATGCATAAAATACGCACTTTAACACATTCCCTTTCTAGGATACATACAAAGAGGAAAGAATGCCATTTTCTTTATTATACTTCCTTCACAATTGAAAGTAGCTAGTACATGATAAAGCATTTGAAATGTTCCCCATCACTCACTTGCACACCACCTCCAAAACTTTCTAGTTCCTCTCTGAACTGTTTCTTCTTTCTTCAGATGACTTCATAACTTTATATAAACAAAACTTGTGTCCATTTAAAATGAGTCCTTCATTATTTTATTTTCGCATATTAAGGATTACCTGCAGTTTTGTCAAACTCATCTTCATCATGCCCATGATCAAGGATGTTTCTTCATGGTACTAAACCCTGTCTTAGCCACTGTTGAATTAGCAACCATTAAAGTCACTCTTTCTCTATTCCTTATAGTTATGCCCAATATTTTAATGTGTTAATTATTTCTATTATTAACAATGCACATAACTCATTTATTGGCAGGGAACCTATAAATGAGTTGAACCTTTTCCTTCAGAACAGATTAGTGGCATTAGTATAATCACAAGTAGGGGCTCTGTTACTCGTTGCGAAGGTTCAAATAGAAGCTCTGTCACTGCAGTTTTTAAATCTCAATATTCTTCATTTTCTCATTTGTAAAATTATAGTACTCAATATAATCGAGTAATTATAGTACTCAAATGAGCTAATATATGTTTAGGATGTGAACCCCGAATATCTGAGACAGGTCTCAGTCAATTTAGGAAGTTTATTTTGCCAAAGTTAAGGACATGCACCCGTGACACAGCCTCGGAAGGTCCTGATGCCATGTGCCCGAGGTGGTGTGAGCACAGCTTGGTTTTATACATTTTAGGAAGACATGAAAAATCAATGAATACATGTAAGATGAACATTGCTTCTATCCAGAAAGGCGGGACAACTCAAAGCTAAGGTAGGACAACTGGAAGTGGGGAGGGGCTTTCCAGGTCATAGGTAGATAAGAGACAAATGGTTGCATTCTTTTGAGTTTCTGTTTAGCTTCTCCAAATGAGGCAGTCAGATATGCATTTATCTCAGTGATCAGAGGGATGACTTTGAATAGAATGGGAGGCAGGTTTGCCCAAGCAGCTCGCAGCTTGACTTTTCCCTTTAGCTTAGTGACTTTGGAGCCCCAAGATTTATTTTCCTTTCTCAAGGGCATGGCCTAATGAGGGATCACATTTTATTAATATGTTTAATATTGTTAATAACCAAAAGATTTGGATGTTCTCTAGGTGTAATAAGTACCTTCCAGTTGCATTGCATGCCATTATTCATATGAGGTGCCATGTCAGCTGTTCACCTCTCCCTGGTCTCACTGTGCTAGGTACCTGCAGACCGAGGGCCAGCCAGCCCATCTTCCATGAGCACCTACCAATCAGAAAGGACACAAATAGCAGTGGTTACAAACACAATCTGCTACTGATTCAAGCTTTAATTGTTTGATCCTAGAAGTTGGGGCATGGGCAGAAGCAGCTGGGATATGAGTATGTGTGGCAGTAACCATCCTCTGAGAACTCAAAGCAAAGGCAAATTGCCAACCTATGAGAATGTATTTTATTATTTTAACTGGCTGTACTGGGGCTGTCTGTATGAAAATCATCCTTTCTTTTCTCCAGTGCTAATCTCTCTTATCTTAATCTCCAGGCAATTTTTGCACCAGGACGAGGGTCATGCCATATTAGTTTTTATTCCTCTTTCTCATACAATTTCAGTCTATCTCATTGTATCAAGTAATTTCTTTTTCCTTCAAAACTGTAGAGATTTTTCTATTAGGGGAAATAAAAAGAATCTCCTAAGCACTCAAACTAATATCTTATCTCACTCCTTTTCATGGCTATTGTTTGTATGTTTTCTCAATATAGCTTCCAGGGCTGGGTACCAGTTGAGGAATGACCAGTCAGCTTTTTTAGGTGAGGTATTGACTTTAATGAATTCATCCCACTGAATGGAAACAGAATTCAACAGAGCCAGTAAAAGATGGAGCTCTATGCTCACAGTCCAACTATTTTTGTCATGCATATAGCTTCTAAAGATTTAAATTCTGATTTAACATCCTGCGGTCCACTTTTACACATATATGTGTTTATAGATACACATACATATATACATTTATATATATATATGTGTGTATATATAAATAAATCATTATATATATATAAATAAATCATCTCTTTACATGAGTATCCTGTTATCTTTTCAAACTCATTATTTCCAGCATATTGAGTAGGTACTTAAACATCTTTCTGCATTCCCTATCTGTTAGCACCTCCTTGTTCTAATTATACAGGATGAAAATTTTGGAGTCATCTTTGATCACTCTTTTCCCCTTTTTTTCTATGTTGAATTAGTATTTTATTTTCAATAGTTCAATCTCTTAATTTTTTCTTAAATTATTATTTCTAAAGTTATATTTTAGATTCTCATTACTATTTACTTGATGTATCTTAGTCAATTCAGACATGGCAAGGCAAAACTGGAAACCTTCATCTTCCACAAAACACAAACACTCATGTGTACATATATACACATACTTACCCCATCTGCCACGTTTGACCTTCCTACAGTGCTGTTTTTCTTAAAGGCTTATTTATTAACCATTTGATCAAAGTATGTAATTTGGGAGTTGTCCTTGACCAATCATTACCAATATATAGTCCATCTCCAGGTCCTATCAAGTTTATATATCTGAGATATGTTTTATGCTGGGATCTTATTAAAATGCAGATTCTGATAATATTTATTTAGGGTGAGTCTTGAGGCTGTACGTTCTGAGTTCATCTTAAGGAATGCCCATATTGAGGACTTGAGAAATATATTTTGAATAGCAAAAATCAATGGGGTCCTACATCATCTGGCCCCTTTGCAATCACTCAGAATTTATCACAACACTCTCCATCTGACTCACTTGGCTTCAGGTCCCTTAACTTCTTTCATTTTCTTAGTACATCAAACTCTTTCATATGTTCACAACTTTGCATGGAGAGTCTCATTTGTCCAGAATGCTCTTCATCACTTTCTGTACTACTAACCCTGCATCCTTTACATCTCAACTTCTTTTATTCCTCTGGCAGACACTTTCTGAGTATGATGGTTAATTTGATGTGTCAACTTAACTGGGCCCTGAGATACCTAGATATTTTGTTAAAGATTATTCTAGGAGTTTCTGTGAGGGTGTTTCTGTATGACATTATGTCTGGATCTGTAGACTGGAGAAGTAGATTGCCCTCCCCAGTGTGTTTGGGCCTCATCCAATCCACTGAGTAGAACAAAAAGGCTGAGTATGGGAGAATTGTTTCTCTCTCTACCTTACTGTCTTCAAGCTGGGACAACAGGCTTCTCCTGCCTTCAGGCTCAGATTTAGACTAGGACTGGAACTTACACCATGGGCTCTTCTGGGTCTCCAGCTATACATGCTGTACTGATAAACACCCACATAAATATTTGATTAACATAGCAGTAAGGGCTAAAAAGAAAAAGAAATATGATTATGAAAAAAGAGGTATATGTTGCATAGGTGGTCAGGGAAGTATTCTAAAAGGAAGTAGAATTTTTACTGAAAATTAAAGAAAGAATTAGTAGAAAGAAACAGAAAAAAATCATTTCAGGCAGAGGGCACATCCTTTGTCAAGATGTTGAGATGGTGTTGTTGGGGCTCATAACACAATACCTCAGAGCAGGGTGCTTTGGCATTCTGAGTATTTTGAATTGAAGGATACTAGAAAGACCTCAGAAGCAATGGTTTTCTCTGACCTTCTCTCACCCTCCTGTCTCCAGCCCCTCTTCCTCTTCAATAGTGAGTCATAGAAACTAGAATTCCTCTTCCCCATGACAATTCATAGAAACTAGAAATTCTCTCCTTCAAACTAAGTTGTAAAATCTAGAAATGTCACTCCCTGACTTTGTCCCTTCTCCTCTGAAGATCCTCCAGAGACAGGTGTCCTCTCCTATATCCAGAGGAAGGAATGCTTCAGGAGAAGCCAAGAATAATCTGAACAGATAGGTCTTGTTGAGTTATCCTCCTCAATTTATTACCATTAGATTATACCTCTTCCCCATTTTTTTTTTTTTTTGGTAGAGACAGGGTCTTCCTATGTTGCCCAGTTGTCCTCAAACTCCTGGCCTCAAGCAGTCCTTCCTCCTGGGCCTCCCAAAGCACTGGGATTACTGATGTGAACCATCACACCCAACCAAGATAATACCCTTTTTTGTGCAATTATATTTCTATATGATGCCCATTCTTCATTGAACTAAGCATAAAATACAGTTTTCCTTGGGTCTTTTAATCTTCATTTCTAAAGACTACCATGTCAGGTAAAACTGTTAAAAATATTTTTTCTCTTATAATCTGTCTTATGTTATAGAAGTGTTAACCATGACCCTTGTGATACATGGCAAAAAGGTATGATCATTTTGCTCCTACAATTTCACGACCAGCTGTGTGTATGCAGGGTCTAGAAAAAAAAAATCAGTGTGTCTTGAGTGAAGGAAGTAGGCCTTGGTAAAGAATATAGATTTAATCTAAGCACAATGGGTATACAATGAAATAATCAAGGAGGAAATATGACTAATTTTTGTTTGTTATGTTTTACTCTGTTGGGACCTCTGTTTCCAGTCATGACAGAGAAAAATGGTACAAGACATGTGATCCCTTCATGATAACTACTGCAGAAAATTATAAAATACATGAGAGACAACATTTCAGGAATGAAACAATAAGCAGAGATCTGTGATCATGGGGAGAAGGAAAATACACAAGGTGAACCAGATGACTGTAGCATGGTGGTCCCTGGTTTCTGCCTAGAGACTTTCCTCTGCTGCAAAATATTGAGGCAAAATAACAGTGATTTTGCTGAGCTGAGGAGGAAGGTATTAGATTTTTTGGCTTGTGCAGCAGCTGAAATATACAGCTCTGGCTATCTAAGATGAGGGCTCTCTTCCAGAGAAGGGGCTCTGGAAGTCTTTGTAATGAATCATCATAGGTCCTTGGGTGGGGGCTCAGTGATTAACTTCAGATAAACAGAGTGTCAGCCCAGCCAGAATGGAATGATCTGCCCTGCACCCTCTGAGCACATTGAGCATGTAGCTGAGACTCCAGAAAATGCCATTGCTTACAAGTCAGGACCACACTATGCAGTAAGTGGCGTGTTGTAAATGCTAAGTACAAAACAGGAATAGAATGTTCTTAGCAATGACAAAATCAAATCTGATAGGACCAAAGTATAGGCCAGTAATTGAAATACATGACAAAACAAAATGCATTGCCTTTTAACGGGTGACAAAATACTTCAAACACTAAATAATATAATCCATGATGGCCAGCATAAAATTAAAGAAAAATAACATACTGTGTATGTAGAAATAGAAAGTGTCACCCATAGACAAAAGGAAGAGCAGTTAAAAGAATCAACACTGAAATGTTGTAATGAGCAGAAAGTAAGTTTCAAGGAGCTGTTGATACTTTTGTTTTGTGAGGTTCCCACATAGACACTGTTGTTTTCTTGGTGTGATACGGAACAGGGAAAGTGCAGGAGTAAAAATGTCTAAGCTTACAAAAACAGAAAATGTTTAGCTAAATGAACATGTGGGAATACATGTTGATTCTGAATTTAAGTCGCCAACACATTTTTATTTAACATACTTATCTTTTTGCTGGAAATAATAATGTTTAATTATAGTGGGCTTTAGTCTTAGAAAAGTAATGAAAACTTGTGTATGAATTTTCTGATGGCTTTAAAACATATGGGTGACAGTGGTACAAGATAAGATTTGACATTTTTGACTTTGAGAGTTATAGGAACTATAAAATTTATATATTTACCATTGCTAATTCATTATTATTATCCTTTCTGAGTCAGAAGTTGAGTGTTAAGAGAGACACTTTAGTAAATGACTTGTCACGTGACACTTGGACTACCATGAACATGCCTCAAGCTCTCTAAGCTTTCATTGCCCTACGTGTAAGCTTGGAGTAATAATACGTATTTCAACATGTGACCCTTTTTTTAGTGTAAGAATGGGAGATGTGCTCCTTTCATCTCTCTACTTCCCTGAGTGGATATTGGTAGCCCTATTCATTTATATTTGAAAATGCAAATATGGTCATACTCTAAAAGTTCTTTGGCAATCAGCTATTTTTATTTACAAATTAAGATCTTACAATTAAATATGACATCATCAAATATAGACACCAGCACCTAATTATCCTGTTTTACTTCTTCTTTTATTTTTATTTTTATTTTTTTGTCAGTGGGTCTTTTCTAGACAGAATTCTTAGAATACAAACCATTTCTTCTCATCATACAGTTTTGGCCACAAGTCTCAAAAACCTATTTTGAAATTCTGAAAACAAAAATTCATTCATTGTTTTGCTCAACATTTCTGTTATGTCATCACTCAGAAAATGTCAAACAACCCAGTGCTAAAGCTGTTAGTTTCTGCTGGGGAGAGAGAGGCAGGAGAGATGACATTATTGTATCAAAATGATTGTTTGCAACTCTATGGTCTTGTTATTTCTTTAATATGTAAATAATGCCAAACAGAATTCAAACTACCTTAATTCTAACTATTTTTCTTTACTAACTCGGTGTTATACAATATTGATGAGTCATTCCACCACTGGGATCCTATTTCCTCTTGCTAAAGTATAAGCACATATCTAGCTTGGTTTTGAGAGAGGAGGTGAAAGTCAAGTCAAACTAATTATAATATATGAAAGCATTGTAGTGGATTCCATTCTGTAATTGCTGTAACTAGTGAGTCAAATAAGTTCTGTTTTCTTAATTAAAAGGCCAACAAACATTGAACATTGTTTTCATTTTCTTTTGATACATAATATATTTTACATAACATCCCAGGATATGAAACGATTTTTGAATCAATAAATCAATTTCATTTTACAATTTTTCTTTCTGAGCAAATTTATTTCAGTCATTTTATTTCCTCTAACTGCATTTTTTTAAATGTCTAAGCATGGAAAAACTGAAAGCAATATTCTAAGGAGATTCATTTATTCATTACATATTAATTAGGTCTTTACTATGCAGCAGACATGCTGTACATACATGGAATACATGGAATACAGCAAAAATAGGACAGAAATTTTTTTTAAAAAAACTCTGCTTTCAGCCAGGCATGGTGGCTCACGCTTGTAATCCTAGCACTTTGGGAGGCTGAGGCGGGTGGATTATGAGGTCAGGAGTTTGAGAGCAGCCTGGCCAACTTAGTGAAACCCTGTCTCTACTAAAAACACAAAAAATTAGCTGGGTGTGGTGGTGGGCACCTGTAATGCCAGCTACTTGGGAGGCTGAGGCAGGAGAATCTCTTGAACCCAGGAGGTGGAGGTTGCAGTGAGCCGAGATTGCGCCAATGTACTCCAGCTCAGGTGACAGTGCGAGACTACATCTCAAAAAAAAAAAAATAATAATAATAATAACTCTGCTTTCATGGAATTTACATTCTGGTGAGAAGATTCACAAAGACACATTAGAAATGACATTACTCTACATCTATACTCAATAAAGACCTGCAAACATTATTTTGTGCCTCACATTTCATGGCATCATAACAGAAATAAAATATATTTATTGATGTGATGTTAGGATTAAAGATTTTAATGTAAGACCTCAAACTATAAGATGCATAGAAGAAAATCTAGGAAATAAGTCTTCTCAACATTAGCATCAGCAAAGAATTTATGACTAAGTCCCAAAAGCAATGGCAACAAAAACAAAAACTGATGAGTGGGACCTAATTAAACCAAAGAGCTTCTGCACATTAAAAACCATCAATTGAGTAAAAAGACAACCTAAAGAATGGGAGAATATACTTGCAAACTGTCCATCTAATAATATTACAAAGGTCTAATGTCAAGAATCTGTAAGAAATTTAAACAAATCAACAAAAGAAAACCAACTCACTCCATTAAAAAAATGGGCAAAGGACATGAACAGACACTTCTCAAGAGAAGACACCCAAGTAGCCTGTTTCATCTGTTTGTTACAGATGAAAAATCACTCAACATCACTAATCATAAGAGAGATGCAAATCAGAACTACAGTGAGAAAACATCTCACACCAGTCAGAATAGCTATTATTAAAAAGTAAAAAAAATAACAGTTTGTTGGTGAAGCTGTGGAGAAAAGGGAATGCTTATACACTGTTGGTTGGAATGTAAATTAGTTCAGCCACTTGTGAAAGCAATTTGGAGATTTCTTAAAGAACTTAAAACAGAGCTACCATATGACCCAGCAATCCCATTACTGACTATATACTCAAAAAAAATAGATCATTCTACCAAAAAGACACATGCACTTGTATGTTCATTTCAGCAATATTCACAATAGCAAAAACATGGAATCAACCTAGGTGCTCATCAATAATGTATTGGATAAAGAAAATGTGGTATATAAACACATTGGGATACCATGTAGCCATGAGAAAGAACAAAATCATGTTCTTTGCAGCAACATAGATGGAGCTGGAGGAGACCATAATCCTAAGTGAATTAATGTAGGAATAGAAGACCAAATAGCACGTGTTCTTCCTTACAAGTGAGAGCTAAACCTTGAGTACTCATGGACATAATAATGGGAACAATAAGACACCGTGGGCTACTAAAAAGGAGAGGAGGAGAGGTGGGAGAGAGTTGAAAAACTACCTAGTGGGTACTATGCTTACTACTTGGATCCAATATACCCATGTTAACAACCCTACATGTATACCCCCTGTATCTAAAATGAAAGTTGAAATTAAATTAATTAATTAATTAATTAATTAAAAAGATAAAAAAATCTGCAATATAGAAGCTTGTCCGATACTGTCTAATGCAAGAAAATATATTTAATCATTATTTATAATCAAGATAGGAAATTATTTGGTGATAGTATAGTATTGCATCAACTATGGTAGAAAATGTCTTTGTTTTACTAAAGTTTACAATCTAAGACTAACAGTAATGACAGAACACAATATTAACACATGATACTTACAAACCATTTCTACAATTCTTCTTATCTAATATTGTTCCAGAGACTTCTGGCCATCTTATATATGAATCAAATGGATACAAATATTTAATCACCTAAGACCAAAAATCCAATATTCATGGTTACAATGGGGGAATCCCAGACTAAGTGGTTTTTAGTTATTTTACACATACACAGTCTCATTTTAAGAGCTATTTCTTCTTTTAAATTAGTGCTTAGTTCATTAAACAAGAAACTGTTTAAAATCTGTACTTCACTCAATCATAACCATGATATTGATTTTTTTAAGAACTCTAAATGTCAAATAATTTTTAAAAAGAAGAGATGTAAGAGCTAACCTACTTTAACCTCACCTCACACACATAACAGAGGGAGAAACTAATGGCTAATATGGTTAAAGGTTTTGTATTTCAAAACAAATTAGGAGCAGCAGAACCAGGACTTGAATAATTCCCAAATTTCCCAATTTCACACATTTATAAACTTGTTAGTGTCATTTAAGCTCCTTTGATTTTTTAAATCAACATTTTAAATTGGTGTAAAGAAACTCCTTCATCTTTAAAGGAGGATTACTCTACGGTTACCTTTGAATGGACTTCGTTCTAATTCTTTATTTCATCAGGAGACTAGACAACTCTCAATGTAATGATGAACCTTCTAGGTTGACGAATCCTTTTTTAATTTTTTAAATTGTTAGAAATAGTTTTACATCTAATTTATAGCTTTAACAAATCACTCATGGAATTTCTGAGACATAAATACATTCAAGTATTTCTTAGCTTTCATAACTGACTATAGTGTTAATAAAACAACACTGAATTTTTCTTTCTTCTTGCTTAGTCGACAAAATAGATAAATAAATAAGCATTTACACAGGCATTTGGGCAAATGGATAATTTGGGTTTCTCTGTGCGTATGTATGTATGTGTGTGTGTACGTATGTGTGTGTATGTTTGCAAGCACATAAAACATCAATGTGGAGTTCATTGTTAAGGCATCTAGTAGGTTTTTCTATATCTATTCATGGAACTCATTTGACAACCAGAAAATGAGACTGTATTTTTATTTATTGTATTTATTTTGAGAATAAATTTGATCTAGTTTGCTAAGTTGAGGCCAATCTCTTACTCAAAATGTAAATTTTTTTTCTGCATACCTTTGGATTGAATCCGTTTCAGAAGCATCACATCAGTTGTCAAAATAATATTTATGCAATGGAAGGCATAAAATCCCAGAAAATAAAAGAACAGATTGTTTAACAGCAATATTCCCTATACAGCAGAATATGACATTAGGTAATAAAACAGTCTTCCATTCTGTGACTCCTCACCATGTGATCTCAGTATGCCTGAGAGTGAAGCAGGCATTTATTGCTACATATGTCCTCTGATACTCTGGGATTATCACTTAATTAACTTGGTATAAATAGACTGAACAAGTGGTGTAAATCCCAGTAGACACAACACTTAGAATTCTATAATGGATCTCAAAAGAAATCCTAGAAAATGAACTAACAAGAAATAGAGAAGTGACACATGTTTCAGATCAGAATCTGAGTTTATAATAAACACATTTTAATTTTTCTGCACATCTTTTTCAGCGCGGGTTGGCACATTTAAAAGTTATAAATAGAAAGACAGACATCCATTGAACTATTATAGGACCTTCTTCATGCTTCTTAGTTTGGGGAAATATTAAAGGATTAGAGATTAATTTAAATTCCAGATGCAATTTTAAGTGTTTGATTAGGGTAGAATTTAAGAGAAATCAACAAAACCATTAGTCGATGATGGAGATGTATTTTTATATTTTAGGCAGTAAAAAGCAAGTATGCTTTATTTGTTATAAAAGTATAAGAAAGATATATGTTAATTAAGGTGATTAAGCTTTGTTATTTTTTAAAGCTCTACACAAAAGTGAACTTAAACCTATTAATCAAATCTCTTTGTGACCATTTAGGAATCTGACTCAACATTTTTTGAAAGGGCTCTGCATAGAATATTTTAGAAATTGATTAGGTCAGACCAAAGAATAGTATCTAGATGTTTTAACCTAAATTGCATCTAAAAGCAAGCATTAAAACCCCCGAGAAACTATAATGCAATTTTAGCAAAACTATATCTTAGACACATGTTACAGCAGTAACTTTTCCAGGACTATTGTTAGTAGACATTTCTAAATGGAAATAAATATTTATGTCAAATTTTATCAAAGGTACACTGGACATTTTATAGTTTAATACATTTTTAAAGCATATAAAGAATAGCATACTGATGTATAATTTTGCTAACCCTTACCATAATTATTTTAGAACTCAAATGACAAATACATTTGTATTTGCCTCTAAAGCCAAAAAGGTGGCTAATAAATGAAGCCTTTAGTAAGAGGCATCTCAATTTGATGGAAGTCACTTATGCATCCTTACAGTGCCTCAAATATAGATCAATTGGCTATATTAAAGTCTATTATGCAGAAATTTTTTTTCAATGATACTAAAAGAACTCATTTATAAAACTGAAACTGTGATGCTTTACTAAGAGATTCTGAGAGTCTGTTTTGCTTGATCAAAACTTTCCGTTTGCTGAGAGATATGAACTGTGGAGAACCATCTATTTCAACAGCTGTTTGTATGTATTCTTTCCAATGATCACAGGCTTTTGTTTGAAGTGACTGCACGGTCATCATTAATGAGTGACATCACAAAATTTTTCTGGTAACATGAAAAATTAAGAAATGGCAAAATGCTGCTTAGATTTTTTTCTAGAATATTTAATAGGAATTATCTTCACATTTATGGATTTTGATGCTCTCTCATTTTCCCATATCTTATTTATTGACTTATATGTGTAAGTAAAAATAAGATTGGTTTTATAAGGATATTTAAATTACTAACATAGTAAATATTTAGTGTTAGTTTTTATTCTTATGTCTCCCTTCTCAAGTGCATTAGAAGTATGTAGGGGAGTGTTGCCTATAGAAAACGTCACTTTATATGAGAAGTGACTTAAGGAATCAGCTTGTGATAGGGAGGAGAATGGAGACAAACCAGTGGCAATTCTCAGTTGGAATTCATGACCACAGGCAGGCATGTCTGGAAGAGAGAATCTGATAGCCAGTAAGATCTCTTGAATGCTGAGGACAAACCAAGGACCTGGTCCTGCACCTAGAATACAGACAAGATCTCTAAAGGCACTGAAATATTAATAGTGTTCTTTTATAGTAGGTTTTTGGACCCTATACCTCTGCAGTTACTAACCCTGAAAGTTAACCAAATTAACTACGGTATATAGATTCAGACCTGCCACTGAGACATGTACAGTCTTGATTATTGGCAGACAATATGTGGCTTTCATAAACCTTCAATCCTCTCTATGTCAACTTTCTTTTTAACTTTTATTTTAGATTTGGGGTAATTTTGCACATGTTATACAGGTAAACTACATGTTACTGAGGTTTGGTGTACAGATTATTTCATCACTCAACTAATAAGCATAGTACCCCATTACCTAATATGTAGTTTTTCCATCCTCACCCTCCTCCCACCTTCCACCCTCAAGTAGGCCCTCATGTCTGTTGTTCCCTTCTTTGTGTACTCAACGTTCAGCTCTCACTTATAAGTGAGAACATGTAGTATTTGGTTTTCTGTTCCTGTGTTAGTTTGTGAAGGATAACGGTCTCCAGCTCTCTCCATGTTGCTGCAAAGGACATGATCTCATTATTTTTATGGTTGCATAGTATTCCGTGGTGTATATGTACCACACTTTCTTTATCCAGTCTACGTTCGTATGTATTTAGGCTGATTCCATGCATTTGCTCTTGTGAATAGTGCTGTGATGAACACATGCGTGCATGTATCTTTATGGTAGAATGATTTATATTCCTCTGGGTATATACCCAATAATGAGATTGCTGAGTCAAACGGTAATTTTGTTTTAAGTTCTTTGAGGTATTGTCACACTGCTCTCCACAAGGTCTAAACTAATTTACACTCCCACCAGCAGTGTATAAGCATTCCCTTTTCTCCGCAACCTCACCAGCATCTGTTATTTTTTGACTTTTAAATGATAGCTATTCTGACTGGTGTGAGATGGTATCTCATTGTTGTTTCAATTCATATCTCTAATGATTAGTGATGTTGAACATTTTTTCATCTGTTTGTTGGCCATTTGTATATCTTCTTTTGAAAAGCATCTGTACATGTCCTTTGCCCACTTTTTAATGGGGGTGGTTTATTTTTTGCTTGTAAATTTGTTTAAGTTCTTCTTGTGAATTTTATTTCTTCTCTGGAGGTGTCTTTTATTTTCTAGATCCCCAATATTCCACTGGTGATTCCACCTATTTTTCTGACAATTTGAAATTTAACAAATTGTCTCCACTCCTAAATTTGAATATAAACTTAGGGTTGGGCGTGGTGGCTCACTCCTGTAATCCCAGCACTTTGGGAGGCTAAGGCAGGCAGATCAACTGAGGTCAGGATATCGAGACCAGACTGGCCAACATGGCAAAACTGTCTGTACTAAAACTACAAAAATTAGCCGGGCATGGTGGCATATACCTGTAGTCCCAGCTGCTCAGGAGGCTAAGGCAGGAGAATCTCTCGAACCTGGGAGGCGGAGGTTGCAGTGAACTGGGAGCACGCCATTGCATTGCACTCCAGCCTGGGCAACAAGAGGGAAACTGTCTCAAAAAAAAAAAAAAAAGAAAGAAAGAAAGAAAGAAAGAAATAACACAGAGAGTTGATGGGACATATATCATCTAGTTATTTTTCTGTAAATACAAACTGTTTCATCAATGAACTTGAAAATTGACCACTCAGTAAGTTGTTTGCCATTAAATAAGTTAACTCTTCATCATGTACCTATTTCTCATTACACTGTTTATAAGTGTACATTTTAATAACAAGATTATAATACCCATATATTACAATTAAATGATTTTTTGAGGTCTTGAGAGGTACTAATTAATTATATTTCTCTCTTTTATGTTTTGAACCAATTAAAAAATAGACATAGGTATAAAAATTTAAACAATATATTATTTTATTTCTGTTTAACCTGGATTGAATAAACAGCCTGAATTAAGGTTTCAAATGTGTGGTCTGCAGTTCTAGCCCGTGAACTCTACCTAACCTTTACACTGCAGATGGGGCAACTGTTGAGAGACAGAGAGAAAAACAAACAAACAAACAAGTAGTAGGCCAATGTGTGAGTACTGTTCTCTAATGAGTTAACTCAACCAATAGGATAGTCAATGAATACAAATGTTTCTCTCTTATGGTAAAATAAATGAGAAAAATATGCAGAATTCTTGAAAATAATAGCTTATTACTGCTTCTGCTTGGAGAATGAAATGGCCCTCTATATGTAGAAAGATAACCAAGGGAAAATAATGTTTCCTCAATAAATTTGTTGAGAAACTAAAATAGTTCAAGTGGGATGTATTATAAGTAAGACATGAGATCATATTCTAAGAAAAAGTAGACTGAGGGATAATAGAGTTTGAGAAACTTACAAAGTGAAACTGCTAAAAAATAAATTGATCTTCTTAGTTGTAATGCACACAGTTGTGACGAAGTTTGATTGTTAGAAAGAGTAGCAGGTGGCATTATGTTACCTGGGAGGTCCATAGAGTTATGAAAAGCCAGAAACATGTCAAGAAGTATTTAAGTAAGAATGACAGTGAGAAAAACAGAAGGAATAGACTATAGCCATTAATGCAGTAACAGGGGATGCATTCCTATAAATTAGTGCAATGGCAAGATGTAATTGGACCCAGATATTTAATGTGAAATAAGTAGCAACCACTCATACAAACTGCAAATAGAAAAAGCTAAGCCGGGTGCGGTGGCTCACGCCTGTAATCCCAGAACGCTGAGAGGCCGAGGCAGGTGGATCATGAGGTCAAGAGATCGAGACAATCCTGATCAACATGGTGAAACCCCGTCTCCACTAAAAATACAAAGATTAGCTGGGTGTGGTGGTGTGTACCTGTAGTCCCAACTACTCAGGAGACTGAGGCAGGAGAATCCCTTGAACCCAGGTGGTGGAGGTTGCAGGGAGCCGGGATTGAGCCACTGCACCCCAGCCTGGTGACAGAGTGAGACTGTGTCTCTCAAAAAAAAAGAAAAAGAAAAAAAAGAAAAAGAAAAAGCTCCTAATGAACAATGCACAATGATAGAGAAGGATTGTCATACTAGACCTGAGGAATCCATCCCAAGAAATCTAGCAGTTTAAAATTCTTTTGGTTCAAACTTTGTCCTATGGTCTGGCAGGCTTCATTGTCAGCTCACCAAGATTATATTCAACCCTCTGGGAATACTTAAGTTAAACAAAGAAAATATAAAATTAAAAAAAGTAAATTGTCTGGTTTAGATGAGAACTATGGCGAATATAACCATATAGCTATGTCTTTCAGTCAAGGCATTTTTTCCATGATATAGGAAGTCACATTATCATTAGTAGGTTGGTTGTCTGGTGAGAAAGAAGGAATTAGAGAACTCAATATTTAATGACATCAAATAAAAACTGTCTGACACTTACCTCTCCTGAGTATTGAGATAGGGAGTAGAACCAGGTTCTAAGAAGGCCAGATTTTGAATCAGGGCATTGTCCATATTTGTCTTTGTAATATCTCTCCATATTTTAAACAAGTATGCTTTTACCTATCATGAACTCATTTTAAAATTTAACACTAAAGACCACTTTATTTTCTTTAATTTTTTATCTGAGATTTGTGAAGACTTATACAAATTATTAGAACACTGAAAAATTCCTATCTAGACTTATTAATTTATTTTATAAGTTAAGAAAATGAAAGGGAGAATATTCTTCTAATCCTGTTTGAACACAAAAGAATTGGTTCATAAACTGGAACTCTTAACTCTCCCTTCTAGAAAAATACCTGATACCTTACATTGTATTGAATCATGTGAAAGATATCAGATTGCCTCCATAGCCAGAGCTTCTCAAAGAGGAAATGGATAAAGAGTTAAGACACAAGCAATAAATAATTAAATTATTGTAATTCTAAATTATCTAAAAGGGGAAGAAATGGGAAAGTATGTGAAAACCAAACTGACTGCTCATGAATTCACATCTTTGGGATACTTAGAACAAATAAAAGGAGAATAAATACTGTATTTGCCTAAGTTGGGGAAATTTAAGGTTTAAACCAAGTTACCAAGAACAGAATTGTAGGCAGAGGAAAGCTAATCCCTGAAGGTAACAGAGGCAAAAGTGGCCCTGCCATTGTGTCTGCCCTGCTAGGTTTGCTTTCCTCAATCAGATGCCTTATCTGGGGGCATAGTGGGAGGCATAGGTTATGAAATGCAAGTATCCTATAGGCATTTACAATTAATGTAGTCAGAAAGCCCAATACTGATTTGCCTGGGTAAGATACCTGATTCTCAAAAAGCAATGACCTAAACCCATGTCTCCTAGAAGCATTTTGACTACAGATTGATCAGCCAAATGGAGGGTTAGTTTAAACTCAGTCTCCCTTTAGATAATTTTGTAGCTATATTGAGGCCTATTGTTTTAGTTGATGTTATATTATTTTGAATTATTAACATCCTTCTAACATTTTAAGGATTAGTCCATACATATAGAAGTATCTTCTCATTTATGTTTGCATTTCTAATGTACATATATAAAAGTTATAGAATTTTCTGTTTTCTTCTTGCAATTGTATTTTTTGATCTTTTAAAAATATTGGAGACACTTTTACTTCTTTAAAGACCTTTTATAAAAATATATTTTATTTCTAGTATTACATACTTAACGAAGGTTTATAGCAGGTCTTATAAATTTTATTCACTGCATTTATGTCTTTGCTCTTGCTGTTTTATTCCACTGTGCTTGTGCTTGTGCTTGTGTTCACTCCATGCATTAAACAATATTCAGAAATGAATATTGGTATTCATAACACAAGTGAATGCCAATATTCATTTGTGTTAGTGTTTTCTTGGGTATTGATATTCTGATGGGAAAAAATGAACAAAGGGGATTTGATGAATCAGAATGTTATTGAACTCCATTAAATCTTATTTTTCAAGATAATTTCATAAAATGCAAATGAGATAAATGTCTTCTATGTTTATGCCTTGTTTAGTTCAATGTTCTGTTACTGGCATCTTACCTAATGCACTTTCTTTCCACTCCCTAGAAGATATATATATATATATATAGCCTTCTACACATTATACATTTATCATCATATTGTTTACTTTACTAATACATAACATGACAATGTCCCCCCTAGGTGGCAAACTCTGCTTCCCTGTTCTTGGGATGATCCTTCTCACAATATTTGTTCAATTAGTAAAATTGAGGTTACTAATCTGTATTTTTCTGACTATATATTTTTTCCCTCTCAGTAAAGTCAGGATGGTATTGTTTTGGTATCTCTCCCCCTCCCCAGTTGAGAGCAGGTTCTGGTCTGTTTGCTTGAACCCCAAAACTTTCACTCAAATAACTACTTCTTAAACAACTTCTTGTATGTCCAGAGCTGTATTTATTACATCATTTCCTGACTAAATACCAGTATCTTTGTTAGAAATGATGTAAAGAATTACATTTGGTAGTTATGAATTCTTTATGCCATCAGGTTTATCCCTCACTATAAACCTATCACCCAGCACTTTGACCAATGCCTGGAGATAGTAGAACATTTGTAAGTACATTTTGGTTGAATGAATTATAACCTCTTGTCATCATCTGTCACCAACAATAGTTCTATAATTCCTTGTTACCTTATCCCAGTTCCAAAATGACCAATCCCCATATCTTTTTTTTGTCCTTAGTTTCAAGCTTTAATCTTTTTGACAAACTTTCATTAGAACAACACTGCTCTGAAATTTTAAAGCTATGTACCCATATCTCCCTCTTATACATATATTTTTTAATAGATTTTACTACAGAAATTTGCCTAGATTGCCTTGCCTCTGATAGTGCTACTTAGAAACATTGAGTGGTTTGGCAAAGGATCTATATTTATTGCCATTCTAGAAAGGGCTAAACATAGCTAAAAGCTGTAGATGTGCATGTGAGGGGCAAAGGATAACGTAATAACCTCATATTGCTCTCACTCTATTTTGTCCATATCCCAGAGGAAAACATGGCATGATCCACAGAAGGTTAGACTTTCACTGGGCCAAACCAATCTGCAGGACATATATCAAAACACCCCATATTTTAAAGTTTTCTAACCCTAAAGCGCTATTGGATTTGTACCAGATTGGCTCAACTGAATGCATTATCCAGAAAAGATTGTTCTGCTTTATTCATGTTTGTGCTTCCCAGCCAACCCCAAGAAGTGCCATGTTTTGTAGCTCTTCTTGATTTGGTACTGATATGTCAGTCAGTTCTTCCCCTCTCCCCGTTGGCTGACGTGACTCTTTCTGATAATAATCTCTGAAAGTCTTCCTTTTACAATGACTCATTCCAAAACAAAACTCAAATACAGGTGGCCCGATGCAGAAAATTCATTTTTATCCCATTTATTATCAATTTGCCACAGGATCAAATAGATAATCTTGGCTTGACAGCCTAAGAGAGATTGCCTGCATTGAAAGCTATGGTTTTTATAGAAGCAAATCTGGTAGCAAAGTGAATAGCTCATGAATTAAAAAAAGAATCCCCGGTTAATTCAGTGGCTCAACAGTTTTATCAAATATTCAGGCTCCTTCCATTGATCTGCTAAACCATGACATCCTTTATGATCAAAAGATGGCCCACATTTGGCCAGGCGTGGTGGCTCACGCCTGTAATCCCAGCACTTTGGGAGGCCAAGGCGGGCAGATCACGAGGTCAAGAGATCGAGACCATCCTGGTGAACATGGTGAAACCCCATCTCTACTAAAAATACAAAAAAAAAATTAGCTGGGCATGGTGGCACATGCCTGTAGTCCCAGCTACTCAGGAGGCTGAGGCAGGAGAATCACTTGAACCTGGGAGGCAGAGGTTGCAGTGAGCCTGAGCCAAGATCACACCACTGCACTCCAGCTTGGTGACACAGACACTCCTTCAGAAAAAAAAAAAAAAAAAAAAGATGGCCCACACTTAAAATTCCTGCTTGACAAAAGGGAACAGAATTTCCATGATGGCATTGAGCCAATCATGGTCTATCCTTTGGTTAGGGGAGGCACTTACTCCTTGGGCCTTTTCTTTCCTGAACCCTGAACAAAATTTAGGATCTGTTAGTCAGAGAAAGAAGGAAATGGTTGCCATGGGAAGCTTCCATATAACTGTCAACATTTTACTTGGACATTTACTTGAATGCAAGACTGAGTAATTCATTGTCCAATAAGTACAATGCCTGGGGCCCACAATGGATGCCGGGGCCATAAATAGTTTAATTTCTTTTAAATAAGAAGAACAAATAAATTTTTAGGTCAAATAAAATGTTTTAATATATATCACTAATATATTCATCTTTTATATCAGTGAGATTGTGAACCATAAATTTTAATGTAAAGGAAGGGTCCCACGGAAGTCATAATACAGTCTTAGCCACATAAGTGTAGCATGTCAGCACACAAGAAAGGGAAGTGCATTCAAGGTGAAAGCAACAGTATATGCTTTCATCATGGGAGAGATGAACCACCTATCCTGTTCACCCCATTTCAAAGGAATAGATATCCTCACTCTTGAATTCCCAAGTGGTGCTAAAATCATTATGTGCATGAACAGACATCTGCAGTGAGGATACTCACATTAATTTATTCTAAGACTATTTCCAATAAACTGGACGTAGTAAAAGGATTTTCCTAGGGATGCCAATGAAAATAATGCAGCAACAGAATTTTAACAGTTTTTCTTCCTATTTTTCAAAATGACAGATCAATATTTCCAAAAGATAGGTATGTCTTTCTTAAGGCTAACCCTGTGTTCTATAAATATGGTGCCACAGCACACAACACACACCCATTCATTTCTGCTTTCTGACACCTTTTCCAAACTAGTATATTTGATAAGTGGATATCTCTGTATTTTTGCTGTCAAATACCTTTATTTGCCAGCTGGTTAGAAAAGAAGGAGGCAAAGGCCAATGTGCTTTTCCCCGGAAACAAATATGTCATAGCACTGATGTTCCACTCCAGTGACCTTGTGGGACTGAGGGATACCAGTCCTTCTCCTTTATGGCACTCCCTGTTCAAACACAACCAAAACAGATTTTGTTCTAGATAAATTGAATCAGTCGTCAGAATGGCAATCAAGAATACTATGCCAGAAAATAATTGAAGTCACAAAAACTTGCCCAGATATTTCCAACAGAGTACTTTAAACATCTTCTTATCATATATCTGCAGACATAAAGGTTTTCTGGCCTTTGTGAGTCCAAGAGTCTTATTTTAGAGAGCAAACCTACAAAGTCAAATGATCAAAAGAGTCAAAGCTTCTCTGACAGAAACAAATGTGGTTCAAGCATTACTAAACATATATGCTGTAATGAAAATGTCTTTTTATAATACACTTTCCCACTCTCAGCTGTGAATTTCCATGGGAATTATTTCCAAAGACAAGCTGCAGGGAAAGCATCAATTAATCTGCTGAATGAATTTTTGAATCTATTCTCAATGCTGAGACCCCCTCCTGGTGCTTGGTAATTACCCCAATATTTTCTGCACGCTTGTTTAAACGGCTTCCTCTTGGGCTTCCTGTGAAGAAGGCCCCTCTCTCTGCTGATCTGAAAGGCAATGTGCCTTATCGTTCTGCCTCATTCCATCTGCAGCTCATAGGGGGTCTCGCTAATCATTGTCATTGGAACATTGGATGAGCAGTCTGGGGACATAGATAGATGCGACACCAAAGGGGACCATGGACTTTCCAACAGAGTGCTCATCTTCATAAATGCATCATCCCTCCCAGATTCAAAGCAAGAGATGAACTCCTTTAAAGCAAGGACCTGCACCTTAATTATACAAATGCAGTGATCAAAGTTATTAGCACTCTTTTCAAAAGCCAGGGATTTAATAGAATGGTGTTTTGTTACTTTTGACAGAAAATATTCGGTCCTCATGAAGAGCAAAAGTAACAGAGAAAAACACAATAGGGAGAGAAATAAAGCAAGAGGAAAATGAAAATGGTGTTAAACAAAAAATGGTATTTACAGAGAAATACAATTCAAAAAGCAGTTGGTGCCATAAAAAAGATAAAAGTTGTGAAGTGTTGGGCTGTAAGAGAACTTCTAAGTGTATTCAAATATGACATATTTTTTATTTTTCTTACCTCAAGTAGTAAGTTTCAAAAGATAAATGTGATCCACAATTTATCCACACATGATTCATCTATAGACAGAAAATAAAGCACAGTGAGGTTTTTTCATATGAAAGAATCCTTACACTGGAAATACTTATCTTTTATCTTAAATAAAGATGACTTTCATACTTTTGGCGATTGTGACATGTGTGAATATTTCTTTCTAAATAAGTTAGTTCACAGGTTCCTTGAAACTGTCTGAGAGTCATCTGAGGAAAAGCTCTGCTACTTTACTTGGTATGTAATAAGTGGGTGTGTGTAATTTGATTCAGAAAAATAAAAGATATAATTTAAAGAATGAGCTATGACTATTTAATAACTGAGAAGTATTTGAACAAAATAAAATTAAGTAAAAGATTAAAAGAAAAGAAATCATTCCTTTTTATCTTAGGAAATAACAATCTCAGTTCAGTTAATTTATTTCCAAGCTACCTGAGTCTCAATATTAAAAGTGTTTTAGATAGCATCTCATTTATAATGACATTGACTTCTAGGACATAAACTTGAAATATTATAAGTGCAATTGTTCTTATTATTATCATTCAAACAAAGTAGCATATTTAGAATTACCTTATGTTTAGAATATTAAGAAAAAATGTTTAGGAAACCTCTATCCATTTTATTTTAATGTAAATATCTATGCATCATAGCTCAAAATTTTACCTGTTAAATAAGCACTTTAAATCCTGGGGGACTATACTTCATCCTGTACTGGGAGGAGCCAGCCATAAAAACAGGGTGGGGTCTGAAAGCCAGGAAATCAGATAAAATTCAAAGGTGTATATTAATCGTTAATGTATCTCCTCTTGTGCTCGCTTGAGAGTCCATTCTAGTCAGAAATCGTCTCTGCCAGTTTACCAAAATGCTTTCATGCTATCAAGTTGCTCTCTGTTTTTAAAAATCAATGGTCAATTCTCCACTCTCATCTTGGTTGACTTATTTTCAAGATTTTTCATGGTTTCTTAGGCCCTCTCCTTGAATATTTGCTTCCTGGATTCCAGAACATTATCTGCTCCTGATTTTCCTCTTACATTACTCACCGTGTCTTCTGGTGTATCCTGATTTTGTTGGTTTACCTACATACTCCTGACTTCTAATGATTTGTGCATCCAACTGCTCAGTCTTTAAATCTTTTGTAACTACTTGACCTCTTTGGAGATCTCATTCAGTTCACAGTTTTAAATATGACCTATGTGCTATATGACTCAGATATTGAAATATTCATCTTGCATATCTGCCTTGTACTCCAGACTCTTATAGCTATATTTTTATCTGACCTAACTATGTTAATGAATGATAAACATCCCAAATTTAACACACCCAAAGCAAAACTTCTAAACTTCCCCCAAATATACTTCTCCTAAGTTTTCCCCACCTCTATAAATGCAAAACCCATTTTACAATGAATGAAGCAAAACATCCTGGATTCATCTGACTCATTTGTTTCTTTAATTCTCTGCACTCAATATATCAAAAAATTGTTCTTAACACAACAGTTAGAATTATCTTATTAAAACTCAAAGCAGACTATATCATTGCTTTGCCCCAAACCATCAATGGTATCTCATGTTGCTCAGATGCAAAAGCCACACTTCCTTCCAATGGAATACAAGGCTCTATAGGATAAGGTTCACTGCTACTTTGCGAGATTCATCATGCCTTAGTTTTTCATTTGCTTATTAAACAACTGTCACATGAGTCTTCTGCTGTTCCTAAATCATGCCCAACATGTGGTCACCTTTGCTTTTCGGATCCTTCTGTCTTGAAAAGGCAACTCCCACATTTCTGTTTGGCTTACTCCATTGCTTCCTTCAGGTCTTTCTTCATATATTAACTGTAGGAGTCACTGTGGGCAACCCTGTGTAAATTATATTTATTTTCTGGTATATATCTTTCTTGTTTGTACAATGCTGATTTTACAGGGACATGGAAAGATTTAAATGAGATAGTCCAACAGCATTAATAAAAATCATGTATGGATAATTTGTTCTATTTTCAGTCTTGAACAAAACATGGCCCTGGAGGTTACAACAACACAGTCTGTAAGTGCTCAAATTATGCTAAAATAAAATGTATATCAGCATTGCTTCTCCTCTTGAAAACAGATATGTCAGATTTACCTAGTCTCTCTGGATCTCTGGAAATCAACCAGAGAAGGGAAGGAAAGATAAATAACAATTCAGACAAATATTCAAAATATTTGACTAAAACTAGAAAGATTCATGTTATGGATAAAAATAAAGAGACCAGGCACAGTGGTTCATGCCTGTAATCCCAGCACTTGGGAGGCAGAGGCAGGCAGATCACCTGAGGTCGGGAGTTCAAGACCAGCCTGACCAACATGGTGAAACCCTGTCTCTACTAAAAATACAAAAATTAGCCGGGCATGGTGGTGCATGCCTGTAATCCCAGCTACTTGGGAGGCTGAGGTAGGAGAATCGTTTGAACCTGGGAGGCGGAGGTTGTGATGAGCCGAGATTGTGCCATTGTACTACAACCTGGGCAACAAGAGTGAAATTCCATCTCAAAAAAAAATAAAAATAAAAATAAAAAATAAATAAAGTGAAGAGAGTTTAAGAAAGAGGACATTCCTCAAAGTGGCAGATGCCTCAGAAGAGTCCCATGCTGTAGTATTACACAGTTGAACTCAAAGTGTTCAAAAGGTTTTAGAGCCAGTATCATCTTCAGGATCACTGTCACATACATGAGTACTCACATTTGAGAAGCAGGAGTGTAATGGATGACATGGACTTTGGTGCTTGATTGTTTGGGTCCAAATCCACTCTTCTACTTATTAGTAGGTTAGTGTAGCAGAGATTCATGTTGGGCTAGTTATTCAGTGCTTCTAGCTATCTGATTTATCTTTGCTTTATCTTAAGATGTGTAAAGTGGGAATGGTGGCACTACTGACTATTTTTGTGAGGATTAAATAATCAATAATATAAACTCTTATAGCAGTGTCTGATTCACAGTAAATGGTCAATAAGTAGTAGTTATCATAACATTAACCCAAAATCAAATCTCTCATAGAATCCTGCATGGAGAATTAAGCGGCTTTATGGAAATTGTAGAATCTAACATAACTGGATGACATTCCCCAGAGATAATTGTTTCTAGCTGTATGTGTTTGTTACAGTTCCAGTGATTGAGATATACCAAAATCACTATCTGGAAGAGGATAAGAAGCTGTTCACCTGCCTGTCAGTGCTCTCCCTTCAGTTTCTTTGTAGTCTCAATTTCTCAAGGACAGATAAGGAGCCAACTGGAAAAAATATGTGTGTGTGTGTGTGTGTGTGTGTGTGTGTGTGTGTGTGTGTGTGTGTTGTGCTCATTGCACTGGGTGATCTAGTCCTAGATGCAGGTTTGAACTAAATCCCATTTGTTGGGGTGTGGGGACTAAGAAGAGTCAACAACTCATGATAGTTTTGGAGTGCCCTGAAACTTAAAATTACTCCCTAGGCCCTTGGAGAAACTTGAAACTCTTAAGTATTACAGTTTCCTGGTGAGACGCTTAAATCTACCTGTCCTAATTTTCTGTCCTAATGATTTCTCAGGGACAGTTTATTTTCCATGAGCCTGTTCTTTGAGGAGGCAATCAAAATGATCTATTTTAGTCTGGACCAAATGTGGGGCACTATAAATCAGCTGAGTCTTGAAGATACCACAACTTGCTTTTCACTCACAGCTGAATTTTGATAAAAGGAAATAAAGGAATGGCTGACAATTGTGGGTATGGGAGGATCTTTTCAATTTTTTTTAAACAAGGTCTAAGACACATTCTCTCTTCACCATGTGCTTGGAGCAAATACAGATTTCAATTACTTAAAGTAATACAACCTTAAAATTGCATTTAATTTCTAGTGTTATCTAAAATGCAAATGTTGTTTAATTGTCTTTTTTTAATCCTACTGACATTTTAGTGTGCTGTTGCCTTCTTTCAGTTAGTCTTCACTTCTTTTGGCTGGGACTTATGGATGAGTATGTGTGTAATATAAATGTAGAAGAATAATGCATCATCCCTGTTTTTGATCTCATATAAACCAGACACTATTTTAATTCTGACTAAACTGTATATTTAGTTGTGGCTCACATTCAGTATTGGGCTTTCTCTTTGATGTGTGTTATAAAAATTGCTCTTTCATAATTTTTTTTTGTTTGAGATGGAGTTTTGCTCTTGTTGCCCAGGCTGGAGTGCAATGGCATGATCTTGGATCACTGCAGCCTCTGCCTCCTGGGTTCAAGCGATTCTTCTGCCTTAGCCTCCTGAGTAGCTGGGATTACAAGCGTGTCCACCATGCCCAGCTAATTTTGTATTTTTATTAGAGACAGGGTTTCTCCATGTTGGTCAGGCTGGTCTTGAGCTCCCAACCTCAGGAGATCCGCCCACCTCAGCCTGCTGGGATTACAGGAATGAGCCACCGTGCCTGTCCGCTGTTTCATAATTTATAACCATAAACATAAAAATATTATTTTGCATACTAAAGTGAAATATCTGATGAGTTAAAAGTAAGTATGTTAATGTGGGCAAATGAGTACGTAATTTAGACAACATTATACATTGGAGTGAATTCAGGAAAGCTCTAAAATACTGAACTTGGAGGACATAATATCTTTTATATTTTCTTTATTTCAGTTAATTTAACCAAGAGAAAACTAACTAGATCAAAATTGTATGCCTATTCTAATATTAGTAATCTTTTATGAAATATTGATTCAGAGTCCCTATCTTTGGTGAGCCAAAAGTTATTTATTTTCTCTTTTTAGCAAATCAAGATCTCATAAGATATTATCCATTTCATGAATGCATATGATTGGGAACTTGCAGACTACAGAGCTCTCATTTTTCTTTAGAAGTTTGAGGCTGGGCTGTTTATAGTGAAGTAAAGAAAAGTGCTTCTTAAATTCATGTCCAAAGAAGGGGAATGAGAACAATTTGATCACTCAATTTGCAAATGAATTTTATTTTATACACACACACACACACAGACACACATCCCATAGAATGTGTTGTGTAAGCTGGGTGATTTTCTCCTCTTAAAGTGTAAAATATTTTGCAAGATGCCTAATACTTTTCTGAGGAATGAGGGAATCTCTGTAATAATAGAGACAGCTAGATATTACTTACAAACAAATTGTCAATTCATACAAACACAGAAATCAAAAGAATGCCTGTTTTATAACCAAAGAAATTTGTTGAATGAAATAAGGCTCAGCAAATTTAGCTTATAGAGGATGGAGCATGTCAAGTTTCTGAATGTTAGATTAGATAGCACATAATGTTTTCTTTCAGAGTTGCCATTTTCTTCTCCCCAATCCAATTTGTACTCACCTGCACGACTTTATAGTTTGAATGGTAAACATTGATGTCAATCTCATCTCATTCTAAACTGTCACCTTGTGTTCTATTACCACATATGCAGATGTGTTTTTCCCAACATTTCGACATAGTTTGAGGAATGCTTCAGTGGGATAACTTTTTTCTTCAATTTGAGGTGTTGCTTTTATTGAAAGTTAATTGAAAAAAAACGCTATACATGAAACAAGCTTATGTTTCTGCTTATTATTCATTTCATAAACATTATTCAGCATCTATTTTATATAAGATGATCTCTTATGCCCATTGGGAAATGGAAAACTCTATAAGACCTTTTCCTTTTGTTAAATAAATTATATCAGGATTATAAGAATATGGTTGTTACTGACTCACTATCCCTCTGGGCTTACCCAACAGTATTTTACCAGGCTGTTAAAATCACACCAGAAGAATACTTCATCTCTCCCTCTTTGTCACATTTTGATTTCTGTTTGTCCAAGCTACAGATATGCCTGTTTAATTACTGCATCTTTTGAAACACATACACACAAACAAGCACATGCACATATGTATACTTTTATTCCTGTTGGATATTGGGCTTTGTCAATAAGACATTGACAGTATTATTTCAACCCATTTTGGAAAAGGGAATGTTTCCTTGACTCATTTACATTCAGAAAGCCACATTATTGATCAGAATAAAGTTTATTTTCTTTTCTACTTCCCTGTGTAGATATGCTAAACTAAATATTAGGCTTTGTTATCTTTTAATCAGGATCCTTGACTTTCCAATGAGTGTTTTTGAATTATGCATTTTAGTTGACTCATTTTTGCAAAGATATTTTTCTCTTGGGTCTCTTTATTATACAGTATGCCAATGAGCATATTGTGTAAAAAATCTTTACCTGCCTCAAATGAGACCATGCAGGGAATAGAGCTGCCATATGATTCACTGCCTACACTGGCTTCTGAATTTCAAATGGCTATCTGTGAGATATTAAGAAAAAATCTTATAAGAGACAATTGTCTTACAAGCCCAACCTGGGCCAAAATATGCAGAGCACCATAGGTTTACTCCCTCCCCTAGACTTGGGACCTAGGAATGGAGGGTATCATTGATCATCCCCCTAAAGCCCCAGGATTTAGCTTAATCCCAAATGTCTCAAATTTGAGGAAATGTACTGCTGAAGGAGTAGAATAAGATTTGCATTTCTGAACATGTGGTAGCAATTATTACAAAAGCATTAATAAGCAGTTTGGACTTGAGAAAAGAAAGATTGTACCTTATCAAAACAGTGGAGAATTGAATGTGCGCTCATGCAGAAACCTTTTGATGAAGGGCTCTGTTTCCTCAGATTCCCTTTTTACAGACTTTCAGGAAGATTCACTCAGGGAACAGCATGCTGGTTGTACAATGAGCAGTGGCCCGTGGCAAAAGTAGACACAGTAGAAAAAGAGCTTATTGTGCTGAGGAAACTTCAAAGCCCACAAATCCAAAGTCTTAAGACTACACCATCTCTGCAAATAGCATTCTTAATAGCAAAGGGAGCTAATGTTGAAGGGTCAAGAAAAAAAATTAGAGATAAGATACATTATTCACTTAGCTAACCATTCTAGCATAACATGGCTCTGAATAATCATTAACCATCATATATCTCTGCCATTTACCCAGGAGATGGCCAAATGAAGATGCCCACATGATAACCAAGTACCTTCTCACATAACTGACTGAAATTCGAGGAGACTAACTCCTCTACCTCACGACCGTGAGTGTATGTTTGAAAACTGGATTCAGGAATTTGCCCACATGTTGATGCTGTAACAAACGAGAGAAATGCATAAAACACTGAACACATGAATCAATGTAAGTGTAAAAGTTAAGATATGTGACATATATATTGCAAATAATCCTCTGTGATCAACTATTATCCTCACATATTATACATTTATTTTTTCAGCAAGTAACTTAGGGAAAGGTTGGAAATATTTCTATTCATATAATATCATTTTAAAGATATGCATAATCTATGTTCACTCTAGTGGAAGATGAAGTGACTGGTTCACATTCACAATGAGATTACCTGGACAGAGTTGATCAGTTGTAAAACTTGCCTCAGGCTCTGCCTCCCATGAGGCACTGCGCAATATTATCATCAGATAAACAATTTTGATTTATCATTAACATTTTTGTGTATCTTTTCAGGGCACCTTTCATATAAAATATAAGGTGAATGATACCCATCAAATTGTGGAACAGGGCAAGAATGCAAATCACATGAATTGGCCAAAAGCAACAAGGATTTTGCAATGTAAATCACTTATCTGATTGTGTTACAATAAAGGGGACTTTTTTGGCTAAATGATCTATAACCAAACATCTGCAAATTCTTTGAAACTGCTGGTTTTTTGAGTGAAGGGTATTAAATATCTAAATATCTGTATTAAATTGCAAATGAAAGAAATTGTAATAGTTATTTTGGCCAACAGTCAGTGATTTCTCTGAGATAAAACTGAGAATTTCCCTCCTTTTTTTATGAAAATATTCTTTGATTACTCCCATAAATTTGAAAATGTGCCAGGATTGTCCATTGGACTTTCATTTTTGATACATCCATTAGCTTTCATAATCTTTTCTGGAACAGTATATTATATTTACTATTAATTTTTATTAAAATATGATTTACATTAAAAATTATGAACTAATTATAAGTTTACATGTTTAGCAATTCTTGAGAAGTTAACACACCCATGAACAAATCCAAAACAAGATATAGGACAATACCCTGGACTCAGGTCCTGGGAATGGAGGGTATCATTCATTGGTCATCCTCCTAAAACCTCAGGATTTAGCTTAATCCCAAATGTCTCAAATTTAAGAAAATGTACTGCTGACGGAAAATGTAAAGCTCAGAAGTTCCCCTCAAGCCCTCTCTTGGTAACAACACTAATTCTCTTTAGAGGTATCCACCCTCTCCAATATTAGATTGTTTCTGAACATTATTCAAATGCACTTTTAGATCACATGACCTCTTATGTCTGACTTCACAATTATGAATGTGATATTAAGCCATGTTGTTGTAGGTAGTTGCCACGTGTTCCTTTTTGTTTTATACAATATTCCACTATATGCATACTCAACAGTTTATTTACACATTATTCACTTGTGAACAATTTTGTTGTTTTCAATTTAGGACCATTTCAAATAATGCTGCAATGAACATTTTTGAACATGTCTTCTGCTGCACAGATATAAACATTTCTCTTTTCTTTGTACCTAGGATAGAAATTGCCTATTTACGTGGCAATTTATGTTCATATTAGAAGATACTGCCAAAAAATCCAACAAAGTGGCTATAACACCCCCTTGGAGTTTGTCGTGTTAATGTTAAATCTGTTGCTTGGTATCTTGTGTCATTTTTTTGAAATATCTGTACTATTATTCTTCAAATATTGCTTCTGCCCAGTTACCTTTTTTAAAATTTCCTTCCTAACTCCAATGGCAAACATTTTAGACTCTTTTTCCTTATCTCATATATGTTGTTAAAAGGAAAAACCTAAAGATCTGATCAGTTGGCAGTCTGTGGCTGAAGCCTGGATGCTGCAATTGGGTGAAGCTATTTGTTACAAGAATATGCTCTTAAATTAAGTGGAAGTTGATTTACATACAAAGTTAGGTTACAGTTTACCACCTATGGAGGTACCTTTAAACCAAATTTAGTTTCCTTTATGGTGTCTTATCCTTTCTTTCTGTATTTTCTGAATTTTTAATGTCTCTGTGCTTCAGGTCAGTTATTTACATTGATTTATCTTTTCAGATGATATTTGAGTTCTGTCTAAAGTATTATCAAAGAAATGTTTAATTATTAATATTATGTTTTTCTATTGCTAGAGTTGTATTTGAATGATTTTCTATAAATTCGAATTTCCTACTGAAATTCTAAATTTTTAAATATATATTTTCTAAAATATATTAATCACAGTTATTTCAAAATTCATGATTGATAGCTCTATTACTTGTTTTTTTATCTCTCTGTAGGTTTTGGTTTTATTTCGTTTTACAGGAGGAGTGGGTCTAGATTTTTAATTGGTTTCAGTTAGCTTTTCTCATTTCCTGGTATATGTGGTATTTTTTTTAAATGTTAGACGTTGTTCGTGAACATTCATATAGGTTATTTGTGGATCCAGAAATGCTATTTTTACTTTCTTTTCTACCAACCAGCAGTTACATAACGAGCAGATTGCTTTAATCCTATCAGAAATTAGATTGTTTCAGGGTAGATTTCAGTCTTCATAAGTGTGATTCTATATTCTCTTTGGCCATTTTCTTGGATGCATCTCTTTGGGGATGTCAACTGAAATCCCAGGCTCTATTCCAGGGCCCACCACCCTCCCATCCCCACATCCCATGTTTGTGCATCTTCATGAGACTGTCAAATAAAACATTTTGATCAGCTTCTCAGCCTTTCTTCTACTAGTTATGCTAAGCACAGGTCATCATGATCTAATTAGAGTAGGTAAATAGCTCCAAGCTCAGTGCAACTTCCAATCTCGAGTTTTCATCTTTTTGTCTCTTGTCTCTCTAAGATGTTGACCTCTAAAATTTTGGCTGACTGGAGGGTTTTCTGATGTTTTTAAATTTATTTTTTAAAATATTTTATTCATTTTTAAATATTTTCTCAGCAGAAGTGTTGGTCTGATACAATGTGATGTAACCTAGCTCAGCAGCAGAAATCTTATATACTCATTCTTCACATAAACCATACCACATTCTAACATTTATTATTCAGCAAATACAGCAATGTTATGGGTGGCATAATGTATAACTTTTGGTTTAATTTATAAATATGTATTTTATCAGTTCAACGTCTGTTTAAATATAAGACCTCACATTAATACACAAATTTATTATTCACTTATATAAACTTTTTATGTTTCTAATATCTTGTTTAGATTTTGTTACTCAATCCTTATTTAGGTAAACTGTTATGGAATTATTTGAAACTACAGTCTGAACATAAGTAGAAAGTTGAACAATATTTTTATAAAATGGTCTCTACTGGGTATATAATTATAGCTATATGAAGCTATTAAATTTTAGGTGGAAATGTGTAAACATTCTATAAAATTTCAAGTCATTTTTGCATGACTACCTTTCTTATTTACTTAAATACATATCTACTGAATATATTAAAATAATGTATTTTTCCTTTGATTTTAGAAATAATAATTTCATAAAACTAAAAATAATAAGATAGTATACAAGTTTTTGGGGGGATTATATTCAACCATTAATATGAAAAATTATATATAATTATATATGTAAATTTTTTTATTAATTTTGCTACTGGTTTAAAAACCTGAGAACAACTTTTTTTTTCATAACCTGAGAGAAAATGAATATTTTTAGTGAACATGTAGTTTGCCAGAACAGCCTTCCAAATAATCATGAAATAAATAAAATAAGCTCATCAAAAACAATTTAATTGCTTTTTTATTTGCACACATATTGATGTCTATTTAAGCAAATGTCTTCTCACTCATTTTCTGTTTGCACTGGTGAAAATGGAATAACTTGTAATACTTGCACTAACTCAATATTGAATAAAATAAAGTGAAGTCTCCTATATTGATTAAATACTTCAGGTAGTTATGCCTTGTATATGCTTCTGGTCCCTCATCCAACTCTAGAAAACCTGATGCTGCTGGAGACTCCTGTCTGATTGTCTTTTTATAGCTCAATGACTTTTATTCAAGTGTAATTTCTCAGCAGTTACAATCTGCCTCTCCTTCTTAGGCTGATTGTGGAAGTGTACCCAGGGCTGAACAGAAAACACTTGAACTACATACTGACCCGAAGGGCACAATCTCTGTGTTCCCTTTTACTGTGGTCCTCTCATTTACATCTCAACAGTCCTGCTCATGTGACTGTGCCAGCAGGCTGGCTAATTTCTTAAACTTTGAGTAATTGAGAGGTCTTGACTACGATCTGGATTTGTCCTTAGACTCTAGATCCCATCCCCCACCTGGATCCAAAGTCAGATTATCCTTGCTCTGACTCCTGCAGACATTCACACAAACTTAAAACGGGCAGATCTCTGAGTACCAGCCTTCTGTTAATCTATGGTAGTTCTCTGCCTATATTTTCGGACAAATCACTGTTTCTTTATTCTTCTTTGAGGCATATTTTGTCATTTGCCTTTATGATAACCAGATATTTCCCCACTTATTTGAGAATGTCTTCCAGACTGATCTCAGTCACCAGGACCTGGGCACTAGGGCTTGCTTGTGGTTGTGTCAGGCCCCAGCCTCTTTCTGGCCTCCACAGTAATTTGTTATAAAATAAAATAACTGTCATGCTCTCTTAGGAATTCAGAGACACAATATGTCTCATATAAGCAATCTTTGCTGTGTCATGGGATTGAACTTACTTTTGTCTCCTCTGTTAAGCATATGATCATTCTAATTATAGGGATGTTTATTACTCTAAAATGACAGTCAAATATTACTTTTTCAATCTTAAAAATAACCCCACATGATATGTTTTATCTAATATACAGGAAAATAGAAACCTTGAAAGAATGAACTTTTACTTATTCATTCCTGTAAGACTCTGGCATATTTACAAATTTGGTCATTGTTACCAATCATCAAAATTAAGTCCTGCAGTTCCAACTCCATATTAAAAATATATGACTTTAGATGAAGTAATTCCATCTGATTCAAATCACAGTTTCAGGTGGGACATGAATGGAAGAATTAAGAAAGAATATACACACTCATGAATCTACCTTGGTAAGAAGGGGGTGAGACTACTTTCCAGTCAGATTACCTATACCTACAAAGCATGAGACTTAATCATGTTAATCAGTTAATCCATCTTTGCATTCTCTCTTCAAAATAGAATCTACGATACATGGGTATATAACATTTAGAGAAAAACTTTTATTTTCACCAGCCATTTTGATACCAGAATTCATTTTACTTAATAGTTTTATGTGATCATTCTGACTAGAGATAATTTGGATGAGGTACATTAAGAAAACTAAACATTTAGCCATTTTATTGCCAAGTAATATGAAAGGCATATATTTTCACACTGTGGCTGAATATTACCCTGTCACTACATCCAGATGTGTTTGGGATGAGCTAAGACTTGGGAATTAGCCAAATAAAAGATGAGAGTTTAGAGCTATAGATGGAGTTAAAATGGAGAGAAGCTTATAAGTCAAAGATAGAGGGAGGATCAAAGAAGGGATGAAGGATGGAATTCAGAGATAAGGCTAGGAACTGTTTTTGCTAATAAAATATAGCCTTTAAATAAATTGATGTGACACAAACCATTGCATTCAAATTTTTATGTAGGATCAATCATATCAAACATGTCAAGTTTCATTACAAATACAGAAGATGTTATAATGAAGGACCCCTGAGAATTTATTCTGTAAGAGCTAAAATATTAAAATATATACATAGAGGATGAGGTTATATTTCTGCATCAATAGCTCTTCATAGATAAGAAACATAGAAACATGAAAATCTAAACAAAATGACCTAGTAGAAATCTCAGTAGAGCAAGATTAGAAGGTGATTTTGAATAGGAAGCTTAATTGTCATTGATCATACTATTCTTCAGAGAAAGGCTATGTTAACAGAAAGACAGTCTTTCAGATGAGCCCAGAAAAAGTGCATTCAGAGGCTGGAGCCTGGCTTTTTGACTTTGTATCTGTCTAGTGTGGGAAGAGGTCCACTTGGCTAGAAAGGGAGATGGCTGCCTCAGGTTATCCCAGCTTGATGACACCAGCCATTGAAATTTATAAAACTAATTGTGGTTGAATTCATTCTGTATTCACCAAACTAACTTCTGGTTGGAATTTGGCTTCACCAGAAAGACTTGGAGACAGTAGATGTCCTTGCTACTACTATGAACGTAATAGTAATATCACTAATTATAAATTGATTATTTTGTGATTCTGGTTTATAACTAAATTTTTTACAAATACAATTATTGTGGATTAATTTTCAAGGGACTAATCTCCTTGAGCTACATTGAGAAAATCATGATTCTGTTCCAGAAACATTGAGAAGAAAAGCACATCCAATGCATCAAGTTAGAATTGTTAAATATGTTAAATTCAGATTCAATGTACATTCAGAAAAATGCAGGGATCTGAAGTGTTCACTTGATGGGTTTTGACAAATCTATTACGCATGTATACAGCAATCAAATCAAAATACACAATGTTTCTGTAACCCCATAAATTGCTTTCCTTGTCCTTTTCAATCAGTCTCTTCCTACAGAGTCAGCCAGTGTTTTGATTTCTATCACCACAGATTATTTTTTCCTCTTTTAGAACCTCATTCCAGTAGAATCATAGAGCATATATTACTTTTTACTTGGTACCTTCACACAATATGATAGCTGTAAAATTAATCCACGCTGTTGCATGTATCAGTAATAACATTTTCTTGCTTCATTTATCCTGCTTTATAAATATACAACAATTCTTGTATACAGATATTTTATTTTTATCCCTCCTCTTCCTAGTTTGGAGCTATTATAAATTAAGATGCTAAAAAGTTCTTCAAACATTGGTGGTGACAGGATGCATGCATTCACTTGTTTTCATTATGTACCAGGAAGCAGACTTGATACATTAGGCAGGTAGATGTTTAAGTTTATAAAACAATTTAACAATTTTTTATTTTGTACTTCCTCAAGCAATTTATAGCATGAGAGTTCTCAGTTGCTCCACCTTCCTCAAAAATTGTTTTTAAACATTTTTAAAATTTAGCCATTCTAGAAGAAATAGAATGATTTCTGTTTTAATTTGCATCTCTTTGATGAAATATTTTCTCTAGTAAAGTGTTTGTTCTAGTCTATTAATTGGGTAGTTGGTGTGTACAATTATAATTTGGAGTTCTTCCTATAATATGAATAGAAGTCTTTTGCCAGAAAATTTTATAAATATTTTCTCACAGTATGCAACTTGCTTTTTATTTACTTAATAGTGTCTCTTAGTGAGAGAAGTTTTCAATTTTTATGAAGCTCAATTTATAAATTTTTCATATATTGTTAATGCTTTTGGATCCTAAGAAAGCTTTACCTACACCAGGGTTACAATAACATCTTTCTGCATTTTCAAAACTTTACAGTTTTAGCTTTTATACTTACATCGATGATACATCTTCAATTAATTTTTTATATATTCATGATATGATTCGAAACTTCATTTTTCTCCATTTGACTATTCAATTGTTTCTGCACCATTAGTTGAAGACTTTGCTTTCTTTTTTAATTGTTTTGCCATCTTTGTTAAAAAATCAATTTCCACTGTTATGTGAGGTTATGTCTGCAGTTTATTTTTAGTTTCATTTAATCTATTTGTATATCCTTATTAATTCCTGTGCCTTTAAAGTAAATTTAAAGATAAGCAGTATAAATCAACTTGTTTTCTTTTTCAGATTGTTTTTTAGACCATTTACATTTTTATATAAATTTTTAAAGTTTATCTTTCATTTTCTTCAAAAATCACTCTTGGGAAATAACTGCGATTACAGGGAACCTACAGATAAATATGGAGAAATTTCACATAGTAACAATTTTGTCTTCCGTTTGAAGAATACAGTATGTCTCCATTTATGTCTTAATTCTTCTCAATAATGTCTAGTAATTTCCAATCTAGAGTTACTACATACTTTTTTATTATGTTAGTGTTATTTTAAGTTTTTGATGCAATTAAATAATTTTAAAATTATCCTCAAATGTTTTGTTGCTACTATATATAAATACAAATAATTTTTCTGTAGTGACCTCGTGTCTTATAAATGTTTGAAATTCACTAATAAGTTCTAGCAGGTTACGTGTATTGTGTGTATAAATTCTTTAAAAATTTTTAATGACACAATTTTGTCTGGAAATAATTGCAGTTGAATGTTTTCCTGTTTAATTGTTATGACTTTTGATCTCCTTTTCTTGTCTTATTGTGCTGCCTAGGGTATGAAGCAAAATGTTGAAAAGCAGTGGTGAGATAGGACATTTTTGCTTTTTTTCAATGTTAGGTAGAAAGAAATTAATATTGTATCAATAGATGTGATGTTAATTGTACGATTTTTCTAGATGACCTTTATTATATTTTGAAGGACTTTTTTGTATTTCTAGCTTGTAGAACGTTTGTAAGCGAATGGCTATTGAATCACGTCATATGCTTTTTTTTGCATTTTTTTGGAATTTCCCCATGAATGTGGCTTGATTCTATACATACACTATACTGTAGTGTTTAGTTTTCTGTTTTTAAAACTAAAACCTTTCATTTGCAAGATAAAGTCTTCTTTGTTGAATCTGACAATTTGTTAAGGATTTTGTGTCTCTGTTCATGAAGAGCATTGGTTTGTAATTTTCTTTTTTTATAATGTCCTTGTTAGGAATATTTGTTGTCATTTATGTGTTGTGACATGTTCTTACTTCCTCTACTTCTGAATGCATCCCTGTAAGATTCATATGATTTCTTTGATTTCTTCTTAAATGATTGAAAAAAATTACCCAGTGAAACCATGTAGTCATGAAATTTAATCCTGGAGAAAGTTTTGAATTACAATTCAAATACTTTGTCAGATAAAGAGCAATTCAGTTTTCTATTTCTTATTTTGTCCTTTTGGTGTGTTCTTGAAAAAATTAGTTTTTCCTTTAAATAATTTGAATTCAGTAACCTAGTTATTTATAATATTCTTTTATTAGTTATTCTATATCTATAGAATTGTAATTTTATCTTTCATTTATTACTGATATTTTAATTTGAATTTTTTTTCCTTTCTCATTTTTCAATGAACACTCTAGCTAACTAGGGGTTTAACCATTTTATTATTTTTAATGGACTTGATTATTTAACATTTAGAGTTAGTTATAAACTAAAAATAGCTCCTCAACAGCTGTATCATGGTATAATTTACATTACATAAAATGTGTCAATTGTGAGTATATAATTCAATGCTTTTAAATATGTTGATAGAATTGTGATGGTAGCTCTAGAACATTTCCATCATTTCAAAATTAATCATTCCAACTCTGAAGTTGATAACCATTTCTACCTGCAAATTCAAGTAGCAACTAATATGCTTACTCTTTAGATTCCCATTATATATACGTTTCTTATAAATGGAATCATAGTATATGTAGTCTTTTGCATCAGATTTTATTCACTAAGCATAACATTTATGAAGTTTTTCTATGCTGCAGCATGTATCATTTTGTTACTTTTTAATATGTTTCCCCTTTTTTAGGACATTTTTCTGCTGTGAAACTAAATGTAAAAATCTTTGTACATGCATATGTCTCACTTACCTTCTGTAGATTTGCAGAAGTGGAATTGCTGTGTCATACGGTGAGTTTGTTGTACTTTTTTTAAAAAATGAAAACTTTCTTTCAATGAGACTACACCATTTTACATCCCAATACTCAATGTATTAGAGTTCCAGTTGCTCTGCATCCTTACCCCCACATTATTTCTGCCTTTTTAAATTATTATATCTATTCTACTTAATGTGATGTTATCTATTCTTGTAGTTTTAAATTTCATTTCCTTAATAATAAAGATGTAGAATATCATTTTGTCTTTTGTTCATAGTTTCTATTTCTCTGCAGAGAATCCCTAGATGTTCATTCATGCTGACATTACATTTTTCTAAGTTAGAGTTTCTCATCTACAGTAGTATTGCCATTTTGAGCTGGATAAGTTTTTGTCGGGTGAGGCTGTCCTGTGCATGGTAGGATATTTTGCAGCACCCTTGACCTTTACTCATTGGATGTTGACAGCACTCCAGTCAGTTGCAACAAGAAAAAATTCTGCCATACATTGCCAATGTCCACTTTGGGGATTGATAATTATCCTCAGTTGAGAACCACTGCTTCAATTCTTAATTTTTGTTTGTTTGTTTTGTTTAGAGAGATGGGATCTTGTTCTGTCACCCAGGTTGAAGTGCAGTGACACAATCATAGCTCATTGAAATTTTGAAATCCTGGACTCAAGCAATCCTCCTTCCTCAGCCTCCCAAGTAGCTGGAACTATAGGCTAATGTTACCATACCCCGCTAATTTTATTGAATAAAATAAATATATGGTAGAGACAGAGTCTTGCTATATTGCTCAGGCTGATCTCAAACTCCTGGACTCAAGTGATCCTCCTGCCTTGGCCTCCCAAAGTGATGGGATTATAGGCAAGGGCCACCATGCCTGGCCTCTACTTCTTTATAGCAGCTTTAAAGTACATTTCGGCTAATTCCAGCATTATGGAGTAGATTTTCCTATTTCTTCAAGTGTAGAATGATATAATGTAAATATGTATAATAAGACATTGTAGAGACTCTGGATTCTGTTATCCTCCTTTTAGGAGTGTTAATTTTTCTTTAGCCCTCAATTAAGTAATTGGCATATCACCTTGTACAATTAGGAACTTGGTTTTATGCTCTATCAAGGTGGGCCTGTTTTACATTTTCCTTATTCCAAGAGTAAATCTCCTAGTTCAGGGACGAACTCATTATTCCTAATGCATTACTGTTAGTGGAAAGCCCAAGGTATTTACAAGCAACTCCACCTTGGCAGGAATTAATATTATGTCTCCTGTGAGATGGGTAGCAGCTGAAATTTCTGCTTAAGTTTTTCAGCATTTCATCTTTTCCTTTCCACTTTTTTTTTAGTGTCCTCAACAAATGCACAGTTCTGTGCCCAGCCAAATATTTGAAGGGGTATTTCTAAATATTTTTTACCTCTCCATTTATTCTGATATATTTTCCCATGCTTAATTTTCTAGCTGTTCTACTAGTCCTAAACTATATCTTCTGACCCCTCAATCTGATAAAGTTAATAGATTTATGCTCGAGAGTGAGCCATCGTTTGCAAAATACTTCCAACAAGACAATCTCGATCAGTTTTGACTTGGTTTTGTCTCAAATTATCAACTGATTCTTTCTGCTTTTAGTCATTCTCCAGTGCCTTGAAATAGCGTGTTTGTCTATGTGTGTGCATGTGCTTATCTGTGTGTTTATATTCTAAAATTTATAAATCATTATCTGTGGATACGTTTGTTTGATACTGTGTTCTGTGATACCACCTGAACTAGAGCTCTCTGGTAACCTTTTATATGCCACAAACAATTGTGGACTGAGCAAAGTTAAATAACTTGCTCATAATATTGAGTGAAGCAAAGCTGGTAAAGTCATGCTCTTTCCATTTCACTCTGCTTTTATTTTCTAACTATATTATTTCTAGCATGATTTTCTATATATAGGGTTTTCTATCAATCATTTGGAGGTAAATGCACATGATTTGTAGCCAGCTGTATAGAAATATTACAGGTTGTAAGTAATACTCAAGCACACTATTCATTGTCAGAGAGCAGCAATAATGTGTGTTTGGTTAAAATAAAACAATTTAAGAAAGCTAATCTTCTTTTTCTGTTTATGAGTTAAGTGGGCTGTATCTTAATTCTAAAATCATCCCAGAATGTTAACTCCAAAACCCCTTTCAGCTTTATCAAAATCACTTCTCCAAATGTATGTGAATCTACTTCTGGATTGTCTACTTTTTCCATTTATTTATTTGTCTATTTTTGGGTCAATATTGCACTGATTTAATTATTGCCATTTTATAAATCTAGAAATAGTCTAGTGTTATCAGCTTTACCATGGCATAACCTAACAGAAATAACTCCAGTTAAGGTAATATTCATGCAAGTTAGTTCTTAGATTTTGGGGTATCTAACACTCAAAAATTAAGATATTTCTCTACTACTCATCATTGGAAAATTAATTAAAATTAAACAAATAAATTAATAGTAATATTGTTGAAATTTCTATTCTTCAGTGTATTTAAGTCTTAGTTTCATGCCGTCAATTCATTGCAAATGAAGAATCTGAACATCAAGAGCTTGACTTGCACACAGATAATAAGTGCCAGAACTGGGAATGAAATCTTGGCAGTTCAAGCCAGATCTAAGTTCTTACCTTACTCATAATAAAACATATGAAAGCTCTAAAAAAAAAAAGTATACAAAGAAAATAATTTTTGTCCCCCACAGTGGCTCACTCCTGTAATCCCAGCACTTTGAGAGACTGATGCGGGAGAATCACTTAAGGCCAGGAGTTCCAGTGACACATTCATGATTTGGTAATAAATATTGGCTTATTCAGTATAGCAACAGATGTCTGCTACATTATATTGTAATCTCATTATAATATGATGTCTGCTACATTATATTGTAATCTCATTATAATATAATGTCTACATACATTATATCATGGGTTTATTTAACTTAGGGCTTTGTGAAGAAAACAAAAGGATTTTTTGAAAATGACACAATCCAAGTTCAATAATGAGAACCATAGTTATTGGTGTTTATGTATGTACAATGAACAATAAATGATATAAAAGGTATCCTCTATTAAGCTTTTTTCTTGCTAAGACAACCAACACGGCCCTAAGCCAGCTGAATTTGTTCTGGGACATTGCCTCGTTCACTGTCCCTCCCACTGAAGTCTTGGTCTTCCTTTTTTCACTTGAGGGAAAGCAAAGCAATGCTTGGATTGTCTTTCCGAGGTAGGCAGCCATGTCCAAACTCTCCTTAGGGATCAATGTTCTCCTGCTCTAAACATTTCCATCCAGTCTAGAGGTGTCAGACCATGGGAAAACATTCTTTCCACATAGACTTTGAACTAAACTTGGGTTCCACGTGTGCATGGACAAGGACACATCATTGTTTAATCACCTTCTTTATACTGGTGTGTTTACTACAAAAGCATAGGTTTCTGCTCTGGCCTTGAAAAGTAAAATTGGAATAATTTCTATTATACCCATTTATTGAACAAATAACATAATGTATGAGGTAATAATATTTATAGATGAGTATATTATTAATAATATAATTTCTTATGAACAACCTATGTTCTCATAAACTGTTTCTTTATCCAAATACAGCATTACTCAGAGAAATCAGTTGGGTATAGTGAGCAGAGATGGAGAATAAGGTCACAAGGTAATGGTGGGTGGTTTCGTAAAATAGAGCTCATAGTTTTTCCTGATTTCAATTTATAAAACAAAAATGTGGCTTTTTTAAAAAAGCATTAATTTATTTTTTAGCAAATATATAAAGTTTATTTCGTGTACATATCATGTCTGATGGTTTATTACATATTTATGTTATCCCCTCCTCTGCGAGGCAAAACAAGGTACATCCCTCGCTTTTTCACTACTGTTTCTAAACAAAGCTACAGGAATAACCCATCCCCAGCTGACAAGGATAATTAAGATAATCAGCTGCCAAATATAAACAGCTTATTATCTGTTTTACTTAGCATTTTTGTAAGTTTGGAAACATGTTAATCAAAGACATCTGAAATTTTAACTTTTGCTTCTCTAAAAACTAAACAATTTAAATAATCAGAGAAGAATGTCCTAATCTGTGGATAAATAACTCCTAAATCCATTAAAAATTCCATTCACTGAATTGTTCTGGATGATTAATTTAGGTGCTTCACTGATCTGTGTTCCAGATGAAAGACATGAAAGATAGATGTGTTCTAGTTAGAGGTAGTGTTCAAACAGTCATTTAACTTGTGCTAATCAGGAAATAAAAGTGCTTTAACATATCCCCACTGTGGCTGGTCATGTAATACCAAACTCCTACATTCACATGTATAATTTGTGAACAAAGAAATTCTGATAGGCAAATTACAGAATAGTCTATTTCCTGTAAATGATGTAAGATTTACTAAAATTATCTTAAATAAATATTTTAAAAACACTAGTTACAATACATGTTAAGTATCTTAAAAATGGAAATGGGAAATTATATACTTAAAGATAAGGCACGAGAATTCAATGAATCATTTGGGAAAACTTCCAACATAGCAACTTCTTAAGAGCATTTTACTGTCATAATAGTAATGATGAGCTTAATTCCTCCGGGTGCATAGAAATCACATAACGATGGTATTGTAATTTTAGACGAATGAAAGTGTTGTGAAGGGGTGCAAATTGGCTCATGCACACATATCCATATCCCATGGGAGAAGAGATGAGCCTGAAGCAAAATCCTTCCTGAGATTATAATGCTCTGCTTATAACGCTTATATTTCATGTAGTGGGACAAATACACCTACCAGAAAAATCCTTTGTTAACCTTCTGTTGCAGCTTCGCCTCACGCTAGAAAGCAGTGAGATGCAGTCACTCACACAGCAAGTGCTTATGTTTAAATAGAAATTGAACATTCCCAAAGGGTGAGAATATGACTATTTGCACCTTCAAAATAGAATTGTAAGCCTGACAGCCAAAAATAGAGATTTATAAATTCGACACAATAAACCACCTCTGTCTCTTTCAAACTCCTCCCAAATCTTGGAGATATTATCATATTTTAATATTTCCACAGTTCTAATTATTTCTCCAGTCTCTCTCAATCGTTTTTCTTTTCCTTACTGTTTCACAAATATATTGGCTTTTCTATATTTATCTACCAGTTGGGCATTTTCATTTAGTAGCCTCAGATTTGTTAACTCAAGGCAAAAATCAAAATCTTTCTTCTTAAACTGCTCATCTCTCCAGAAGTCACTATTAGTATCAATGGTACCATCATTTCTCTTGTTACGTGAATTCAAACCTTTAGAAATATGTTTAAATTCCTTTTTCATCTTCTTAACTTAAAGATATCATCAGGTCAGATTCCAAGTGGATTATTAACATACTTGTGCAACTTTATTTTCTCTTCATCTCTATTTTTCTTACCACTTCTCTAGGTCAATTTGTCATACTTGAATTTCTGTACTAGTCTTCTGTTTTTCCTGCCTTCGGTAAAATCATCTCATCCTGCATATGACCATTAGAATGATCTTCCCCTGAAGCGTTTCATCAGGCTCTTATCCTAGATCATAACAAACTTGAAAGCTGTGGGGTAACATTCAATAGCAAGACTCTAAAATTCAACCTCCTCCCTGTCTTAAAAGTGACAAATGTCTCTTTTTTCTAATCTTCTTTAAGATATTTCCAAGTGCATATATTTCTGCTGTGCTCAATACCTTCCTCATGATGCTCTATTTCCAAAACCCATCTAATCTTTGAAATCAAGGACTTCAGTACACATTGATCCCCTACCATTTCAATATTGAACTCATAATGCATTGTTTATACTAAGGATCAACAAATTATGCCCATGGGCTTATTCCTTCTTTTTAGTTGTTTTTGTATTGCCTGAAAGCTAAATATGGTTTTTTACATTTTATAAAAGTTTGTTAATCCCTAATTTATACAAATATCTGAAAACTAGTAAGTGAACATATTCTCAGGGGTTTCTGGGTCATCTATCAGACTTTATTTAGTTTGCATCTTTATTTCATTAACGGTTAAACATATTAAAAGTTAATAGAATTTAATATTCTATTAAAAATAATAGAAAACATTTCTGGATTACCTATTGTAAACTCTTTATAACTGAATATTGCCATGTGGTTTCAGTGCTTGTATCCAGATTCCAATTTTTAAGTAACAGAGTTCAACCTAAGTGGCAGTATTAGTTTACAAATATTTTTTCAAGCATGCCCTACTGGCATCAGGCTGGTAAGCCTCAATTTTCAAATGTAATCTTCAAATGAGCATCTGAATTTTATAATCATAGCTTAAGACTTTAGATTCTTAAGTCAATGGCAATTCTCTATTGAAATTTATATTCACAGTTTAAGATTTTAGGTTCTTAAATAAGAACTCCTCTAACAATTTTGTGGAACTCTCATTTTGAAATACATTCTCACGTTCTAGGTTTATTCAAGTTGGAAAAACTCCCACCCTTTGGTCACTTATATATTGCCCAAACTTTCTTAATTATTGAAATAAGTAGATTTCGTCCTCAAGGAGATTGTAATATTATACCCTTTTAGGCTTTATAGTAAAGACAATTTAATTTACTTGTATTATTTCTGCAACAATTTTTATATTTCTGATTGATTAACTCATAGTCAGAGTGAAGGCTATGGGGGAAAGCAGTTGGTTCTAGCCAGGGACACTTTCCACGTAGTCCCTGTAGGAGCTCTTGGAAGGGAACTTCAGAGCTTCCCCTTGGCACAGAGCTCATACTTGTCATGGAAGTCTTAGTATGGAGATGGATGGACAACTCGAAAGAAAACAGAGAAATCTCATTATGTTTTTCTTGGATAGAAAACATATTCCACTCTTTCCCTAGTGCAACATGTAATACATAGTATGATGTGCTACAATTACCACTGAGTCTTTTACCCTGTTTTCAAATCCAGCTATATTCTGTATTCAAACTACGGGAAACAAAAATGAAAAAAAAAAATCATCTAAATTGGGAAGGTTGTAAAAGGCTAACAAGAAAAATGAGGAAAGCATCTGAATGATGGTTTGAGGAGGCAATACTTTAATATGAGGAGGAGTTCAGAGGGTTTTCTTTTTCATTTTAGGATTCAAGGGGAAGATAGTTTCACTAGTTAATTAAATCAATAAAAAAGAAATGATTATATGGAGAAAATATAAACAATGAAGTATCTTGATATTGCCTTTAGGGGAGGATATACAGTTTTATTACGGCAAACTAAACTTACTAGCCATGATGCAATTGATACATGTCTACACTAGTAAATCCCAAGAGAAAAGGGAGAATGTGCTCTTGTTCTTTGAAAACTTGCTTATCAACCAACAGCATCTATGGTAACTGGGACAAGAAATGCAGAATTACAAACCCCAGCCCAAAAGTATTGAATCAGATTGTATTTTAACCAGTTCCCCATATGATTTTTCCACGTAGTAACATTTGAGGATAGTGCTTTAAAACAGATGAATCCTAAATAACCTACCTAGCCCTTCTTTCACTGAATTTTGCTTTTAAAGGAAAACAAGTTATCCCCCTAGATTCTATTGATAGCAATAACAAAATAGAATCACTTAAAGTGACAGAGTTCAATAAGAATAAAAGAGAAGTTACCAGGAATATATTCCATTAACATGCATTATACTGGTATTTTAAAAAAATATTTAATGTAGCATTGATTGTTAATTGTTTCAATTTATACCAATCAAGGAAATTCATTTGGGATAGTTTAATTATAGTCAATCAATATAAACAATACTAATCAAGCTAATCGATACCAATTATGTCTTTTCTTCATATACAGAAAAACACCTACATAGCAAGGGCAATTTTTTAAGGTTTTATTGACTCAACAGCAATTGTTAAAGTATTGTAAACCTCATTTATTTAAATATTTTTGGCCCACTCAGTTTTCCAGAAAGCTTAAATGTATACATTTCTTTGTAATGAACTCACTCAGTTAAAGCAAGTTTCATCCATTAATGACATTTCACAGCTTTTTTTTTTTTGCAGTTTCTTCAAGATAACAACTAATACTTATTTTAATGGCTTATCTAATAATTTGTTTAATCTACTAACAGAAAATGCTCCATCTGGAAGGATACATTTAATTAAGAATAGGGAGAATTAATTTAACCATGATAGCATTCACACACAAATTAAAATAACATGGTCTCTAGGGATCCCAGAAATTATACCAAAATAAAGATTATACCCTTTTTAAAATGGGTGGATGTACCACACTATAAATCTAGAACATTAAACATGGAAGAATTATGTATGTAATAATGTAAATTTTTTAAGGAGTACATTGGAATTTCTAGATCCACATATATGTTCTTAAAGAGTCAATCTAGGTCTGCATACAATTAAGATGTTAACATTTTTCAAGAATATTTAGAGATTCTCTTTTATAATTATCTTTGTAGTCTATAATATATTATCATTTAGAAATCAGAAATGCTGCTTTAATTTTCATTGTTTTTCAATGCATTTGATTTTTGAGAACAGAATCTTTAGTATACTAGTTGAGATAGCAATTTAAGTTTCAATTTCCTATGGAGTATATTTGTAGACTAGCATATTCATATATTGGGCAACAACATGAATAAAATAAATTATTTCAAAGTAATAAAGATAGTACTCTATAGTTCTTATAATTTTTGTATTACTTCAAGAAAGAAAGGATCATTTATTAAGAAATTCAGATAGATTGACCTTCAAATATATGGGTGATGGACATGAAATATATTTGTCTTCTGTTTTATTTTCTTCTACCTAGTACCTAGCAGTTGCTATAATGAGAAGTAATTACATAGGTATATAAATTCAATAACTACTAAAATATATGGAAGTTCACTTTAAAAATCTTAACAGATTTTCCTTTACTCCACTCAAGAAATGTATTGAGTTATTAAGAAAAAGATTAAGAGTGTGAGAATCTCTCTGGCAAATTGCTAACTAGTTCTGTTGTTATAGGATTGTTTGCTTTTACTTGGGCAAGGGGAAATTCTCCAATACAATAGTCAATAAAATGTGGAGTTAAGTGCTCTGAAAATTATGTCATCTTCCTTTCCTTAAACTAGACACAGTTTCTAGATCAGAACAAGGATGAAGATACATTGATAATATATATATCTTACATCCCTCACCACAAGGAATAAAAAAATCACTGGGCATTTTCTCATATTTCTTTCTGGTATTTCTTCTTTAAAAAGCAGCTAATGTATGGTCTATTACTAGCACCAACTTTAGTATGTCTCTACACATTAAATTTTTTGTAGCATCTAATGTGCTACAAAACACAAAGGAGCAACGTGATAATATATTTGCTCCAAAAAATATAATTATCTTTCATTAGCTTGTTACAGAACCATGTTTTGAATACAGAACTGAACATTGCCAAGTCCTCTATTTTCTCTTAGAAGAAAAAAATAGTTATAATACATGTTAAAAATATAAACAAAGAAATGACATACATATTTTCTATACCAAACAACAAAAAAGGACATATGAATGGGTTTATATTCAAAAGTTTATATGGTTGTAAAGGAAGAAAATATTTATTTTCAGTCTTAGCCAAAAAGTCTAAATAGATAGATTTCCCCCAAGCTTCATCTCTCAGGAATGGGCAAAGGAAAGCTAGAGCCATCTAAAAACATCGTAGAGGGAGCTAATTATTCAGACAAACTTTCCTCATGTTCTAAATTCATTCTAATTACATGTTTCAAATTTTCAATTTATATAACAAATGTAGTACATGATTAATATTGATTCATATTTCTAAAACAGGTATATGCTTTGATGAATGTGGTATAATGGATGCTCTATTTCTATTTGCAAAATAAGTTAAACAGCATGTTGTTCCTTACATTGCTTACCCAGTTACAATCATTCATTTTCCCCATTTATAGTTTGTGTTATGGCCACATCTCCAGTCCTCTTTTTTTTTTTCTTCAACTTTTATTTTTAAGTCCAGATGTACATGTGCAGAAAGTGAAGGTTTGTTACATAGGTAAATGTATGCCATGGTGCTCTGCTGTACAGATCATCCCATCACCTAGGTATTAAGCCCAGCATCCATTAGCTATTCTTCCTAATGCTCTCCCTCCCCCAACAACACCCCCTCTGACAGGCCCCAGTGTGTGTTGTTCGCCCGCTCATGTGTCCATGTGTTCTCATCACTCAGCTTCCATTTATAAGTGAAAACATGTAGTGTTTGCTTTTCTGTTTCTGTGTTAGTTTGCTGAGGATAATGGCTTCCAGCTCCATCCATGTCCCTGCAAAGGACATGATCTTATCCTTTTTATGGCTGCATAGTATTTCATGGTGTATATGTACCACATTTTCTTTATGCAGTCTATCATTGATGGGCACTTTGGTTGATTTCATGTCTTTGCTACTGTGAACAGCATTGCAATAAACATACAAGTGCATGTATCTTTATAATAAAATGATTTATATTCCTTTGGGTATATACCCAGTAATGGGATTGCTGAGTCACATGGTATTTCTGCCTCTAGGTCTTTAAGGAATTACCATACTGTTTTCCACAGTAGTTGAAAGAATTTACACTGCCACCAACAGTGCAAAAGTGTTCCATTTTCTCTGCAAAGTCACCAGCATCTGTTGTTTGTTGACTTTGTAATAATACCATTCTGACTGGTGGGAGATGGTATCTCATTATGGTTTTGATTTGCGTTTCTCTAATGATCTGAGTGACTGCTATGATTTCTGTTCTTTTGCATTTGCTGAGGAGTGTTTTACTTCAATTATGTGATCAATTTTAGAGTAAATGCTGTCTGGCAATGAGAATAATGTATATTCTATTGTTTTGGAGTGAAGAATTCTGTAGATATCTATCAGGTCCACTTGATCTAGAGCTGAGTTCAGGTCCTGAATATCTAAGTTAATTTTCTGTCTTGATGATCTGTCTATTATTATCAGAGGGGTGTTAAAGTCTCTCACTATGATTGCATGGGAGTGTGAACATCTTTGTATGTCTCTAAGAACTTGCTTTATGAATCAGGGTGCTTCTGCATTGGGTGCATATATATTTATGATAGTTAGCTCCTCTTTTTGAATTGAACCCTTTACCATTACGTAATACTCTTCTTTGTCTTTTTTATCTTTGTTGGTTTAAATTCTGTTTCGTTAAAAACTAGAATTGCAACCCCTGCTTTTTTCTGTTTTCCATTTGCTTGGTAAATTTTCCTCCATCCTTTATTTTGAGCCTCTATGTGTCTTTTCATGTGAAATGGGTCTCTTGAAGACAGCAAACCAATGGGTATTGGCTCTTTATCCAGCTTGCGATTCTGTATCTTTTAATTGAGGCATTTAGCCCATTTACATTTAAGGTTAGTATTGTTGTGTGTGAATTTGATCCTGTCATCATGATGCTAACTGGCTATTTTGCAGACTTGTTTCTGTGGTTGCTTCATAGTGTCCCTGGTTTGTGTAATTCAGTGTGTTTTTGTGGTGGCTGGTAACAGTTTTTCCTTTCCATATTTAGTGCTTCCATCAGGAGTTCTTGCAATGCAGGCCTGGTGGCAATGAATTCCCTTAGCATTTGCTTCTCTGGAAAGAATCTTATTTCTCCTTAGTTTATGTAGCCTAGTTTGGCCAGACATGAAATTCTGAATTGGAATTTCTTTTCTTTAAGAATGTTGAATATTGGCCCCCAATCTCTTCTGGCTTATAGAGTTTCTGCTGCTATGTTGTCTGTTAGTCTGATGGGCTTCCCTTTGTGGGTAACCCGACCTTTCTCTCTGGCTGCCCTTAACATTTTTCTTGCATTTCAACCTTAGAGGGTCTGATGTTTTATATCTTGGAGATGACCTTCTCATGGAGTATCTTATTGGGGTTTTCTGCATTTCCTAAATTTGAATGTTGGTCTGTCTTGCTGGGTTGGGGAAGTTCTCCTGGATAATATCCTGAAATAAGTTCTCCAACTTTGTTCCATTCTCCCTGTCTCTTTCATGTACCCCAATCAGTTGTAGCTTCAGTCTCTTTACATAATCCTATATTTCTCAGAGGTTTTGTTCATTCCTTTTCATTCTTTTTCTCTATTCTTGCATGCCTGTCTTATTTCAGAAAGATATTCTTCAAGCTCTGAGATTCTTTCCTCTGCTTGTTCTATTCTGCTATTGATACTTCTAATTGCATTGTGAAGTTCTCATGTTGTGTTTTTCAGCTTACATTGGGTTACAAGATGCTTCTTTGGCTCAGCAGTTTGTTATTACCCACCCTCTGAAGCCTACTTCCGTCAGTTCAACCACCTCAGCCTCAGCCCAGTTCTGTGCCATTACTAGAGAGGTGCTGCAGTTATTTGGAGGAGAAGCACACTGACTTGTTGAGTTTTCAGCATTTTTGCATTGATTCTTTCTCATCTTTGCGGGCTTATTTACCTTTGATTTTTGAGGTTGCTGACCTTTGAATGGGGTTTTAGTGGGGTATTTTTTGTTGATGTTGTTGTTGTTGTTTTCCATTTGTTTGTTTTTCTTTTTATAGTCAGGCCACTCTTCCATACAGCTGATGCAGTTTGCTGGTGGTCAGGTCCAGACCCTAGTTGCCTTAGTTTTTCCTGTACCTGGAAGTATCACTGGTGAAGGCTGTGAAACAGCAAAGATGGCAGCTTGTTTCTTCTTCTGGAAGCTCTGTCTCAAGGAGGTACTGACCTATTGCCAGCCTGAATGAAGGTGTAGAGGCGGCTGGAGACCCCTGTGGGGAGGTCTCACTTAGTCAGGAGGAACAAGATCAGGGACTCACTTAAAGAAACAGTCTGGCTGCTTTGTGGTAGAGCAGCTGTGCTGTGTTGTGGGGGGAACCCTTCCTCATCCAGACCATTTGGACTTTCCAAAGCCAGCAAGCTGAAATGGCTGAGTCAATGGAACTGCAGAGATGGTGGCTTCCCCTCCTCCTGGGAACTTGGTCCTGTCTCAGGCAGATTCCAGCCTGTTGCCTTGGCTAGCTAATTCCAAGCCAATGGGTCTTAACTTGTGAGGTGCTGTGGAAGTGTGACTTGCAGAACAGCACTGCTTAGCTCCCTGGATTCAGCCCCCCTTCCTAGGGATATGTACAAATGGATCTCCTGCCTTGCCGGGTATCCTGGGGCAGAGTATGTAAAACTCCTAGGTCTCTGTGAGTGCCTGAACAACTGCTCCATCAAGACTCCACACAGCTCTGTGTATCAGACCCAAGGCCCTGCGGGCATGGGCCCATGAGAGTATTTTCTGATCCAAGGGTTGCAAAGATCTGTGGGAGAAGGTGGTTTCCCAGGCAGGCTCGCACAGTCACTCACTGCTTCCCTTGGCCAGGGGTGGGGTTCCTTTGGCTCCATGCTACTCTTGGATGGGCTCTTACCCCACTTTGCTCTTCTTCATTCTCAATGGGTTGTTTGTCTAGTCAGTCCCAGTGTGAGAACCTGGATATTTCAGTGGAAGGTGCTGAATACACTCTCCCTTTTCATTTCTCTTTGTGAGTGCCATGGACTGCAGCTGCTTCTAATCAGCTATCCCGTCCCCGTGAAATCTTCTTTTTAAAATTGGAAGAATACATTGCAAGAAAAGAAGACAAAATACTGGGGTGCAATTGAAATTAAGAACTAACTATTTCAGGTCAAAAAGGTGATAAAAATTTTATTATGTGCTATAATCTCTTGTCTAATAAGAATTAATTCAGAACGTTATCATTGTCCATACCTGTAGAGTTATGAGGCAGATATCACGTTTCAGAAAAATAGTCATATGTTTTAAATCAAGCAAGTATAAAAATCACAGGTATGTGCACACACATAAACCAACATTCCTACATCAACATACTCTAATCTGCCCCAACTTAAAGAACTAAATTGTTATTAAACTTTATCTGCTACCTGCTAGTTTATGAAGTTCCCAGTAGTATACAGACAGCCCACTACTTAACCATGATTCAACTTGTGATTTTTCAACTTTATGATAGATTTTTCAGGGTATTAAATGTATTTTGGATTTGTGCTATATCCAATTTCTAAAGGGGTAATCTGGATGTAACCTCATTTTAAGTCAAGTACATCCAATATTTTGGCTTTCCTGAGCCACACTGGAAGAATTGTTTAGGGCAACACATAAAATACACTAGCACTCACAAAGGCTGATGAGCTAAAAAAAAAAAAAAATTACAGAAAACCCTCATAATGTTCTAAGAAAGTTTATGAATTTGTGTTGCACAGCATTCAAAGCTGTCCTGGGCCACATGCGGCCTGCAGACCACAGGTTGGACAAGCTTATTGTAAGTCTAGGAGCATCTGTACATAAGTAGTGTGTATTAAATATCTATTGCTGCTTAACAAATTATCTGAAAATTTGGCAGCTTACTAAAACACACATTTATTATCTTACAGTTCCTGTGTTTTCACTTAGGTTGGATATTCCTGCTCATAGTCTCTTACAATTAAGCAATCAAGGATTCCACTGGGGTTTCAGGTATCTTAAGGTTCATTTGAGGAAGGATTTTCTTCCAAGCTCAGTCACGTGGTTGTTGGCAGGATCCAGCTCTTCACAGGTTTTTGAACTGAGGATGTCAATTCCTTGCCAGTCGTGAGCTGAGGGTCTCCATCAGTTCTTTTCCATTTGAGTCTGTCCATAGAGTGGTTCACACTGGAAGCTGATTTCCATCTGAGCAGGCAAGTGAGAAGGCAAACAAGACAGAAGTCAGTCGTTTTGTAACTTAATCCTTGAAGTGACAGCCTATTCCTTTCCCTATTCTGTTTTTTAGAACTGAATCACCATTCCACTCATGAGTAGAAGAGATTTCAAAAGGTGTGAATATCAAGAGGTAAAGTCTTGAGCTGCCTTCTTTAAGGGTGCCTTCCACTCAGTGAATGACATGTAGTCAGCACTTGATTAATATTTGTCAAATAACTGAATGAAGTATTATATTATTAAAATATCTGTGAATAAACAAATGATATAATTCAAATCATAGTTGATACAGTTTGGCTGTGTCCCCACCCAAATCTCATCTTCAATTTTAACTCCCACAATTCCCACATGTCCTGGGAGGAACCCAGTGGAAGGTAATTGAATTATGGGGATGGGTCTTTCCTGCACTGTTCTCCTGATTGTGAATGAGTCTTATGAGATCTGATGGTTTTAAAAAGTGGTAGTTTGTCTGCACAAGCTGTCTCTTTACCTGCCGCCATCCATGTAAGATGTGACTTTCTCCTCCTTGCCTTGCGCCATCATTGGAGAATTCCCCAGACACATGAAACTGTGAGTTCTCCAGTAAATCTCTTTCCTTTGTAACTTGCCAGTCTTTATTAGCAGCATAAAAACAGACTAATACAATACTGAAATGAAATGTATTTCCATACTGAGGAATAACTTTACATCTAAAGCCAGCTGAATTAGTTTTAAGTAGCAAAATCTTTGCTTTAGTTAGTAAATCCAGGGAAGAATTTAATATAACGTATTTAATTATTACTATTTATAACCTGGCTTAGTTTGTAACTTGTCAAAAACAGACTAAGCTATTTACAAAGAAATCTGCTTTTAATAGGTAATCACAATCATAAATATCCTAGGTTAATATTAATATCACATTTTCATATTAAAGATATTGATAGTGGTCACTTCAATACAGTACTTCCTGAGCAAGCAGTTTGCTGATACCAACAGATTTTGAAATCAGTGGAAATGCATATCCTCATTATTAAAATTGTGCATGTACATATGCTTGTATGTTGTATATGGGTACATATTTATGCTAACTTTCAAATATAAATATTCTAAAGCATATGTGTATCTCCAAAAGACAATATTTATAGAACATAATGAATTTATTACTATTTCCTATGTAAATTGAAATACTTTAGTTTCTCTCACATTTTTTAAATGCTGCTACCAGTTCTACTACACACTTTTCTTTGACAACAAGACTTGAAAATTAAGAAAGTGTACAAAATCAATTGTCCTTGAAAAAGGGCCACTATTAGAATAAGCTTTGCCTGTCTTTGGAAACTAAAGGCCAAGAGATTAAAATTACCTTTGGAACCCATCAGAAAATTAATATATGTCTACATTCACTATAAAGCATTTAATATGACTAACTTTGAAGGAAAGAACTGTAACTATCAAATGAGGAAGGAGATACATTTTTAAATGTCCTTTTTGGGCAGTAACCAATACAATGCATCAAATTTTTACATGTTTTCATTTCACATGTTTTCACTGAAATGGAAGAGTGGCGAAACTCAAAAAGTAATGTTACCTGCCATTCATATTTCTAAGAACCCTCATGTTTATGTTTCTAATTTCCATATGAATAATTTAATGCTATTTTCCTCTTAGTTGCCTTTAAAATATTAGCATATACCCCTAGATCTTCTGATTCCTGATTTGCATCTGTAAAATTTTGTTGATAAAACAAAATATAAATTTAATATGTGAATTGAGCAAATAATAGTAGTTAATGTTAATACCATAAAGAAATCTAATTTAAAAATGCAAAATTATATTTTATAGCTCTTTATATTTAGAATATCCTTTTATTTACACATAGCAGTGATCTAATGTTTATATTATCACCACATACAGTGGACTGAATAGCATCCCGCAAAAAGGTATGTCCAAATCCTAACCCCTGGTACCTGTGAATGTAACCCTACTTAGAAACCTGATATTTGAAGATATAGTTAAGATCTTGAGATGAGATATTCCTGAATTTGGGGTGCGCCTTAAATCTGATGACTGTTATCCTCATGAAAGAAAGAAGAGGGCTTCTTAGTACACATGGAGACAAGAGACAGCAAGGCTCTTGTGAAGATGGAAACAGTGTTGGAGTGATACATCTGAAGGCCAAGGGAGCCAGGGATTGTCTGCAGACATCAGAAACTAGGAGAGGGGCCTCCAAAAGGAACCAACCTGCATATATCTTGATTTTAGATTTCTAGTCCCTAGACCTGTGGAAGAATACATTTTGATTGTTTTAAGCCAACAAGCTTGTAATACTTTCTTATGGCACCCTTAGGAAATCAATATGGGCCCATTAGCCAATACTAAAACAGATTCTTATTTTCCCCAAGTGAAAAATAATTAACTGACTTGAAATGGCTGTCATTGGCTTAGAAACAAGAGCAAAATCTCTTTTTTTTTTTTTTTTTTTTTTGAGACGGAGTTTCGCTCTGTCGCCCAGGCTGGAGTGCAGTGGCGCGATCTCGACTCACTGCAAGCTCCGCCTCCCGGGTTCACGCCATTCTCCTGCCTCAGCCTCCCGTGTAGCTGGGACTACAGGCGCGCGCCACCATGCCCGGCTAATTTTTGTATTTTTAGTAGAGACGGGGTTTCACCGCGTTAGCCAGGATGGTCTCGATCTCCTGACCTCGTGATCTGCCCGTCTCGGCCTCCCAAAGTGCTGGGATTACAGGCAAAATCTCTTTTAAAATATGCTGAATTTCCATTTGTCTTGATAAATGATAGTGTACTATAGTGTTTGGACAAAGCAGTAATCATTAACTTTGAGTTGAAAGGTAAATTAAAGGAGTCACATGCTGGAAGTGTATAAATATTAGGACCAGCATAACTAATAATTTATTTACGCTTTCTATTTTTAATAGTCAAAGAATGACAAAAATCTAGTTAAGCTAAATCTAAAAGAGTTCTAATTGAGTAATAAAGGTAAAAGTTTAATTATTAGTTTTTTTCTCAAGATAGAACATAAAGCAATGGCATACCTTGTCAATAAATCTTAGATTCAGTGATATATTTGTGACTGTCATATAGGCTACATTATTTGAAGGGCTGGTTGAAGAACAGTTTCTGCAAAATATCTTTCCAAAGAATCATAAAGATAGACCTGCAAATGCTACATTGTCACTTGGCACAGTGGCCCAAAATGTCTGCTTTTCAGTAGAGAGGTTTATTCTGAAGTAGATGCAAATGTTATATTCAGGAAAGTCTGTGCTATGGAGAGGTAAAATATACATTTTCATTTAAAATGCATATTTTCTTCTATTTTTATGATGTATTATTTTGTTTTCTGTTTGTTCTCTTTTCATTTGAAGTTTAAAATCCATCAAGGTAAAACTTGTGTATCTGGCACAGGGTATTACAGGCATTTACGTGTCAACTTGATTGGGCCATATAGTGCCTAAATACTAATTCAACATTATTCTGAGTTTGTCTGTGAGGGTGTTTCTGAATGAGATTAACATTTGAATAGGTACACTGATAAAATAGATTACCCTCCTCAATGTGTATGGGCCTCCCACAATTAATTCAAGACATGAATAGAACAAAAAGGTTAAGTAACAGAGAATTTTACCTTCTTGATAGCTTGAACTGGGACTACATTGGTTTTTTTCCAGCCCTTGGCTGGAACTATACCACCTGTTCTCCTCAGTCTTCAGCTTGATGACTGCAGATCTTGTGACTTCTCAGCCTCCAAAATTTGCATAAGCCAATTTCTTCTAATAAATCAAACTCCTCTCTCTCTTCCTCTCTATCTCATAATAACAGCTTACCATTACTGTTCATTCACTGGAAGTAGATGTTTATAAATGTTTTCATCCTTGTTATCTTCACATTAAGTAGAGTAAGAAGGAAGAGTAAGAGGAGGGGTTGGTCTTAGTGTCTCAGGGATGGTAGAGACAGAAGAGGTGGAGGAGGTGCAAAGGGAGGCAGGAGAGGCAGGCACACGTACTTTTATTAAAAAATATCCACATATCAGTGGGCCCATGCAGTTCAAATCCATGTTATTCAAGGGTCAAGTACACAAATACATATACCTATACATATACACATATATAATATACACATATCTATCTCTATATCCATGTCTGTGTCTATGTCTATCTCTATATAAATACATGCATGTATGTTTATGTACCTGCATATGTGTTTGTATGCAAGCATTTACTATACAGACTTCCCTCTTTTGCTGGTTTTGAAGAAATAAGCTTCCATGTTGTGTGAAGACCTATGCAGAGGACCATGTCAAGGAAATGCAGGCAACTTCTAGGAGCTAAAAATAGTTCCTGCTTAAGAAAATGGAGACCTCAATTCTGCTTCTGTAAAGGGATAAATGCTGCCAACAATCAGATAGTTTGGAAATTTATCTTTCTTAAGTCTCTGATGAGAATGCAATCCTAGCCAACACCTGGATTGCAGCCTAACCTTGACACATGGAAACTGAGATAATAAACATGTATTGTTTTAAGCTGCTAAATTTGAGGTAATTTGTCATGTTGCAATAAAAAACTAATACAGTAATCAACTTTTCCACAATATTAATGAATAATCCATTATTTGTTCTTGTTCTATATTGCTGGCTTTTAGTAGGAATTAAACGATTTTATACACAAGTATATTTTTTACCTACCTGTTTCCATTTTGATCTGTTAATGTATTCTAGTAGTGGCTTATTCAGAACCCAGCACCTTTCTCACTCTAGAACTGGAAAGTATTTCCTGGGTGATTAGATTTTTGTTAGCTTTGAATTAGAATTCAGATTTATTCCTATTAATTACTATTTAGTGACTCAGAAAAGAAACTGGCTAGCATTTACAAGCATTGTATCACTGAAGAATTTGTTTTGCAATTGAATTACAATCAAATTTTGAGTGGCAAAGTTTTTATGTTAGTAGTTGCCTGTAATCTAAGAAGTGATTGTTGCCATGAGAAAACCACCATATCGTTAAATGTTTCAGCAGGGTAGATAAGACATATACTTGCTTAAGGGTTATTCCAAATGACTAAGGAGATCCCTTTGTTGTCTAATATTCCATATTTATAAAAATAAGAATGACAATTGTTTTTTATCTCTTTTTAACGCTCTTTGTGCAATTTTACTTCTTGACATTTATCCTATGGAAGTAATCCACATGTATACACAGGTATAGCTACAAAGACATTCAATTGCTGCATTGTCTATATTAGGGAAATTTTGAAAATTACCTGAAAGCCAAATAATATGAGGCAGCTAAAGAATGAAAAAGAACCAAAAAGGTTGTTGTGGATCCACACTTCCTAACGTGGGCAGAGGCTTATGACTGCTATTGAGAGGAAAAAGGCAGGTTACAAAGCTAGATGTGTATGATAAGCCCACTTTTCTGAAAATCAAACATATATAAATAGACCAATAATTTAAATAATAGGACTTACACTAACATATTAGCAGTTAGTCACTCTACATGCCAAATCTTGGGATGATTTTTAGTTCTGTATTTTTGTTGTTACATATATTTATATATATATTCTTTATATATATATATATTCTTTTCTCTTCCAGTTATTATGTGTTTAATAATACAATCATTGACAGGGCTGGAGATGGTTTTCTGCAACTCTCTGCTACAATCATGGTGCTTGAGAGGAGCTCATGAGGAAATATAACTTGGATCTTTCTTAGTATCTACTAGAGAGTCCTCCTATGAGCAGTCCAGAATCCGCTTGCAGAACCACTTTCCAAATCACAAATCCAGGGATTTCCCTACCCCATGGAGGACTCGGGCCCCAGACATACCTCTCTATTATGGCCCTGACCAGAATAACACAAGAACCTTGGGTGGGTGGGACATTTTCCTATTTGGAGCTAAAAGCTCTTTCCTGAGCAGCTATGTGCCTCTGCCAGCAGAAGAGAGTGAGTGAAGACCCTCACTCATCCTCAGTTCTGAACTTAGTCAAAGCCCAGGGAGATATAGCCATTGGCCAAAGGTCAGCAGTGGCAACAATCATTTTTGTTTTTAATTCATTAATCTAATATCCTAGTTATCAGAAAATCTGGCACAGGTCTCTATTTTATCCTGTTGATTTGGCAGACTTAACATATTCTCCACAGAGAGGCTTTATTTCCCCACTTGGCTCAGTTTTCTTTTCCTGCTGGCAGTTGTCCCACCCTTAGGGCTTTGCAATCTCTGGAGAAGTGCTCCTGCTGATGCCCTCCTCCTCCTTGGATCTGTAAGCCAAACTGAATCACAGTGAAACACATTCCCCAGTCCTCACTGATGAACAATGTGGTAGAAGATGCATTTTGTATGTTCTGAATGCCACCCATAATATTTACCTGAGTCTATAAAAAGCATAAAGTGTTTGTATATGTTATAAATTTCTCTTTTTACATTTTGATTCCTTAAGCCATCGAAGACATTTCAAGTTCAAATTTTAAGAAAACTAGGGCACTGTAAAGGAGTAGTAGGCAAGAGCATAATTCCTAATATCAGACAGATATAACTTGCTGGCTTTAATGCTTGCTCTGGTACTTACTGGCCATATGACTTTGGAAATATAATTCAGCTTCATGAAGGCTGAACTCTCACATCTCTAAGAAGGACATCACTCTTGTCCTTCCTCATGTGGCAGATAAGATGAATTAGCCAGATGATATATTTCTAGCACTTGTCAAAGCACTTGATATATAATTTTTGCTCAATAAATGGTATTCATTATTATCAATATAACTATTAATAAGAAGAAGGTATTTTCAATATCAGGGGTTCTCAATCAGAGGTGATTTTGCTCCCACCCTACCCCCCGACCAGAAGACGTTTGACAAGGTATGGAAAAATATTTTGTCACAACCAGGGAGATGGGTGAGGAGTTTCTATTGACATCTAGTGGGTAGAAGATAGAAAGGATGGAAAATATCTTACAATACCCAGGACAATCCTCCGCAACAGAGTCATCCATCCCCAAATGTCAATAGTGCTAAGGTTGAGAAATCCTGCCATAATTCTCTATGCTTAACAACCTCCCTTCTCCAGCATTGATAGCATTTTCATTTGAAACAGCACACTGTCACAAAGATTTTAATTGTTCTTTTTTGTGTGTGTACTTTAAAGGCATGTCTATATATCTGCAGGCTAATTGACTTGCAGTGCAATAAATGATTCTATTGTATAAAATATTAGGTATAGAAAAGAAGCCTGAATGAAAAGCTTCTTATGAAATGATGGCAGACTCCTTTCTCACAAAATGCATTATTCACTAAAAACCAAATCATGTTGTTTTGGCCTTTCTTGAGACATACATATTTATTGGCCTTTCTTGAGACATATTTATTTGACCTTTATTGAGACACGTTTATAAAAAACTAGATCAAGCATCAGCTGTTATTAGTAAGTTATATAGGGATCTATACAAGTATACCTAGTGATATTAAAACCCAGAACAGTGTTATGTTTAAGCAAAATAAGTTGCATTAGCTTATTATTGCATTTAGAGTTAATTTTTTCCAACATGACAATCTGAATATTTGCAAAGGTTAGCAGTTATGTTTAATCAGTAAAATTAATCAGTATTAGTGCATACTTTATAGTGATCAATCACATTCAATTTTAGGAACAGAGTTGATCACATTAGAATGTATTAGTGATTATTCAGACACTGAAAAAAATAGGCCGTTAGCTTTCATTTTATGTCACTAATATTATATATTACTAATACTTATTTGAATACTTTGAATATTTTTCAGGTAAAATTAATGTCAATTGACAAAAATGGTTATACTTAAACATAGTAAATTGAACAAATGTCCTACACTAATATACATATTGATTTGGAATTTTTAGTCTTTTTCATCTAGATAACCTCAAAGGGCATATAAGTCTATATCCATATCTATCTATCCATCTATCTATCTATCTATCTATCTACACCAATAGATTTACTCAAATTCCAGTTTCTCAGTGAAGTATTTCCTGAAAACTCTCTATAAAATAGTAGCCCCTTACACTCTCCCAACCCCACATTTTCATTATTTTCCTTCCTTGTTCTGTTTTACTCCACATTATGTATAACAAAATGTAATATAGTATAACTAGTGTACTACATGTTTTATTTCTTTATTTTCACAGTTATCTCCACTGCCACACACACTAGCGTATAAAAGAATATGTAAGTTTTTGGGTCTAGTGCACTAGGTTTTAATGACAGGTTACTAACTGTTACTAACTGAGGGACCTGGAGCAAGTTAGGTAACCCCTCTGTTCCTCAGGATCCATGTGAATAATAACACTACCTACCTCGTAGAGCTGTTATAAAGTTTAAATTAGTTAATATATACAAAAGTGCTTAGCACATAGTAAGTACTATGGAAATGTTACCTTTAATAATCAATCTCACAAAGGTAGAAATTTGTTTTTCAATGGTATATCCCATGAACCTATAACACACATGGCACCTGGTATGCAGTAAATGGCTTGCTTAAAGAATGATACTCATTCTTCATTTACCAAAGGTTTCTGATTAGGTTTTCTGATTTTCCTTTATCACAAACATCTTACTATGGTCTTTTTGAAACCAAAAGTTATGGTTTGACCCTGGGTCCCCATCCAAATCTCATGTCAAATTTTAATCCCCATGTGTCAGGGGAGGGGTCTGGTGGGAGGTGATTGGATAATGAGGACAGATTTCCCCCTTGCTGTTCTTGTGATAGTGAGTGAGTTCTCACAAGATCATTTAGATGTTGCATGTCCCCATTTTTTCTCTCTCCTGCTCCACCATAGCAAAGACATGCTTGCTTCCCCTTCACTTCCACCATGATTGTAAGTTTCTGAGGCCTCACAGCCATGCTTACTGTACAGCTTGAAGTATTGTGAGTCAATTAAACATCTTTTCTTTCATAAATTATGCAGTCTCAGGTAGTTCTTTATAGAAGAGTCAGAACGGACTCACACAGAATGGGCCACTGCCATAAAGATAACATGAAAATGTAGAAGCAACTTTGGAACTGGGTAACAAGCAGAGGTTGGAACAGTTTGGAGGGTTCAAAAGAAGACAGGAAGATGTGGGAAAGTTTAGAACTTCCTAGAGAGTTGTTGAATGGTTTTGACTAAATGCTAATAGTGATTTGGACAATGAAGGCTGAGAAGGTCTCAGATGGAGATAAGGGACTTATTAGGAACTGGAGAAAAGGTCATTCTTGCTATGTTTTAGCAAAGAGACTGGTGGCATTGTTCCCCTGCTCTAGAGATCTGTGGAACTTTGAACTTGAGAGAGAGGATTTATGGTATCTGGTAGAAGAAACTTCTAAGCAGCAAAACATTCAAGATGTGACTTGGTTTTTCTTGAAAACGTACAGTATGTGCCCACAACAAGATGGTTGGAAACTGGAACTTATGTTTAAAGGGGAAGCAGAGTGTAAAGTATGGAAAATGTGAAGCCTGACCATGTGATAGGAAAAAAAAAAACAAAAAAAAAAACTATTTTCTGGGGAGGAACTCAAGCCAGCTGCAAAAATTTGCATAAGTAATGAGAAGCCGAATGTTAATAGCCAAGACAATAGGGAAAATGTCTCCAAGCCATGTCAGAGACCTTCACAGCAACTCCTCCCATCACAGGCCTGGAGGCCTAGGGGTGAAATATGGTTTTGTGGGCTGGGCCCAGGGCCCTGCTGCTCTGTGAAGCCTCGGGACTTGGTTCCTCGTGTCCCAGTCACTCCAGCTTTAACCGTGGCTAAAAGGGACCAACATACAGATTGGCCATTGCCTCAGAGGTGCAACCCCCAAGCCTTGGCAGCTTCCATATGGTGTTGGGTCTGCAGATACACAGAAGGCAAGAGTTTGAGAGCCTCCATCTAGATGTGAGAGGATGTATGGAAATGCCTGGATGTCCAGGCAGAGGTCTGCTGAAGGGGCAGAGCCCTCATGAAAAACCTCTACTAAGGCAGTGAGGAGGGGAAAAGTGGTGTTGAAATCCCTACACAGTCCCCACTGGGGCATTGCCTAGTGGAGCAGTGAGAAGTCAACCACTGTCCTCCAGAGCCCAGAATGGTAGATCCACTGACCAGCTTGTACTGTGCACCTGGGGAAGCTGCAGGCACTCAACACTAGCCTGTGAAAGCAGCCATGAGGGTTGTACCCTGCAAAGCCACAGAGGCTCAGCTGCCCACGGCCATGGGAGCCCACCTCTTGCATTAGCATGCTTTGGATATGAGACATGGAGTCAGAGGAGATTATTTGGGAACTTCAAGATTTAATGACTATCCTGCTGTGTTTCAGACTGGCATGGGGCCTATATCCCTTTGTTTTCACCAGTTTCTCCCTTTGGAATGGGATAATTTACCCAATGCCTGTACCCCCATTGTATCTTGGAAGTAACAAACTTGCTTTTGAATTTTACAGGCTCATAGATGGAAGTGACTTATCTTGTCTCAGATAAGACTTTGGACTTGGACTTTTGAGTTAATGCTGGAATGAGTTAAGACTTTGGGAGACTGTTGGAAAGATATGATTGGTTTTGAAATGTGAGAAGGACATGAGATTTGGGAGGGACCAGGGGTGGAATGATATGATTTGGCTCTGTGTCCCCATCCAAATCTCATAACTAATTGTAATCTCCTAAGGGTCAGGGAGGGGCCTGGTGGGAGGTAATTGGGGGAGGGGGGCAGATTATCAGGCTGTACTCATGATAGTGAGTCAGTTCTCATGAGATCTAATTGTTTAAAAGTGTGTGGCACATCCCCCTTCTCTCTCTCTCTCTTCGGCTCCACCAAGGTAAAGACATGCTTGCTTCCCTTTCACCTTCCACCATAATTGTAAGTTTCCTGAGGTCTCCCAGTCATGCCTCTTGTATAACCTGCAGAACTGTGAGTCAATTAAACCTGTTTTCTTCATAAATTACCCAGTTTCAGATAATTCTTTATAGCAGTGTGAAAGTGAACTAATACACATCATGTCCTACAACTCTTCTCCTCCATAATGGAGGGAAAAGAGGGTAAAGGCACAAATATAGGCAATCAAATTGGAGAAAAATATTTTTAAGATTATATTTTATTTTTCCTATTATACTTTTTTTCCTGATCACCTTTGTCATTTTCATCAAAACATGCTTGAAAAGGCAGAGCCTGTAAGAGATTAAGTAAACAAAAAATGCTATAATTGTAAAAGCATGACAGTCTTTTGTGAAGGAAATTACAGCATGTAGGATAAAAATAGCTTTCCACTTAGATAATATATACAGTGATAAAAATGGACCTTAAGTACATATATTAGTCTGTTATCATGCCATTAATAAAGGCATACTTGAGAGTGGGTACTTGATAAAGGAAAGAGGTTTAATTGACTCATAGTTCCACATGGCTGGGGAGGCCTCACAATCATGGCAGAATGCAAGGAGAACCAAAGTCCTATCTTATGTGGTGGCAGGCAAGAGAGCATGTGTAGAGGAACTCCTCTTTATAAAACCATCAGATCTTGTGAGACTTATCATGAGAACAGCATGGGAAACACCCACCCCCATGTTTCAATTACCTCACAGTGGATTCCTCCTAGGACTAATGGGAATTATGGGAGCTACAATTCAAGATGAGATTCTGGTGGGGACAGAGCTAAACCATATCAGTACACATGCAACTAGTAGAAAATAAAAGCATTCTTCTTTGTAACTAACAAACCATCCTTGGAGCTAAACCATATCAGTACATATGTAACTAAAAGAAAATGAAAGCATTCTACTTTGTAACTAACAAACCATGCTTGGGGATTTGTGCTTGATTTATTATTGATTCTCACAGAGGACATAGTAAGTAAAACTCATAAAAAAATCAAATTTTTTTCATTTATTTATTTATTCATTGTTGAGACAGGGTCTCACTCTATCACCCATGCTGGAGTGCAGTGCCATGATCTTGGCTCACTGCAAACTCCACCCCCCAGGTTCAAATGATTCTTGTGCCTAACCTCCCAAGTAGCTGGGACTACAGGTGTGCATCACCATGCCCAGCTAATTTTTGTATTTTTCATGGAGATAGGTTTTTGTCATTTTAGCCAGGCTGGTCTTGAACTCCTGACCTCAAGCAATCCTCCTGCCCCAGCTTCCCAAAGTGCTGGGATTACAGGTGTGAGCCACCATGTTCAGCCTAATTTTTTTTTCATTTATACTTGAGAATGACTTTTTATTTAAATGAGTTAAATTGCACACATTGCAACTAAAACAAATATAAGCATAAAGATTTTAGATAGTACCTTTTTCTTTTATGCATCAAATCTGCAGCTAATGACATGTTAAGATGTGAGCCTAATACCTCAATAAATTCTCACAACAATTGTATGAGGTAGGATTTATAATATTTTGTATTTTAAGAAATTGAAAGATGAAAAGGTTAAGTAACTTGTTCTTTGAAACACAACTGCAATTCAAATACAGGTCCATGAAATTGTAAAACCCGTGTTCTCCTATTATCTCAACTCTTCTCATTATTGTTAAGATAAAGACCACACAAATTTTACCACTAATACATGTCTTTAATTTAGATTTTAAGATTTGTTTTTGTACCAATTTTACATAACAAATTTCTGTTACGGGCCATGAAGGAGGAACAGAGACAGAACCTCCCACCGTAAATATTCAGAAACTGCACAAAACACATGAAACTATTTCCAGACAACAGACAACAAATAGTGTAGGTTTGATCCTTGAAAAATGGTGCATAAATCATGTGAGAAAAAAATCCCCCCACTTCATAGCCTGGAGACAATTTCCAGATTATCAATGTAAAAGGATAAATCTAAACACCCTAGGCAAGACTGAACTGAGGAAATGAGAATTCAATTTTTGGAAGTTTGAGTCAGCTAAAAGTATAAACTAGAGTTCTAGAGAAGAGGGAGCTGTTGAAAAAGTATTCTGGAAATGAATTTAGGGATTCTTGGTTCTTTGCTGAGTACTAGGCTGCACATGAAAGGAGTAAAATTCTAAAGGGAAGGGCAAAGAAAGACAAGGAATTTGTACGCATAGCAACTCTAAAGGCTCACAAAGGACAAGCAGATGTTTAAGCTCTGAGTCACCACAGAGGCACTCTTCAGTAATTACCCATAGCATTCAGTCTAGATGTAAAAGAAGCCATGTCTTAGCAAGGTATCTGGGCTTTCTTTAGAATGAATGCTGTTCTACACACGCCTTGGCAAAGCTCAAAAGCAAACAAAGCAAATAATTTAAAAATTAATTTTAGACCAAAAATATTTTAAAAACAAAATTATTTAAAGAAAAACAACAAAATTACAATGCTCAACATCTAATCTAAATTACTAAACAAGCCAAACAGCCATAAATTATGACCCAAAATCTAGATTAAACTTACTTAACAAAAACAGACCTGGGAATTATAAACATAACTTAAATAGAAGACAAAAATTGATAAAGAGCTATTGTAATTCTATACAAATATTTAAAACAAAATAGAAACATAATAGGATGGAAATGGTATATATATAAAAAAGACCCAAATAAAAACTCTAGAAATTATAGACTGTATAAAATAGTCTTATTGGATGTCTATCCAATTTTATTGTCATCCAGTTTTATTGGATGAGACTAATAGTGGGGTAGATATACAAAAAAAATCAATGAAGTTTAAAGCATAGCATACAATTTTTACAGTGAAGAAAAGAGAAACAGATTGAAAAAAATTAAAACTCAACACTTTTAGAATACTTTAAAACAGTGTAAAAATGCATAACATTAAAATCCTAGAATAAAGAGTAATATCAAAAATTGTTAAAAAATGATGCCTCAAGAATATCCAAATTGATGACAATTATATTATAAGAATCCAAAAATCTCAATAAACTACAAAGAGGAAGCACACACACACACATATCAAGACATAACTACATTTCTGAAAATCAACATGACACATATAAAGAAAAATGAAGATAAGAGCATCTAGAACTCAGAATAAATAATGAAAGTTCAAAGATATTGGAAAACATTTTAAAATAATGAAACAAGAAAATCTGTCAATCCATAATTCTAAACTCAGCAAAAATATTGTTTCAAAATAAAAGTAGAATTTAAAATTTTCCAGAAGAAAAAAGAATTCATCATCAGTTGACCAAAACTAAAAAAAAAATTAAGAAAAATTTCTTCAGTCAGAAAAAATATACCACACAAAATCTTGGATCCTCTCAAAATAATAAAATATACCAGAAATTATGAATATGCAGGTATAAATATAAAATAGCATTTCTAATTTTTATTTAAAAGATAATTAAATTTTTTAATCAAAAGTAAAAGCAATGCACTATCAGGTTCATGGCATGTGTAAAAATATATTATGTGGAAACAATGGTATAAAGGATTACAACAAATGAAAGACTTATTTTTTAAGTGTGACTTATATATAAGGGGTATATTTTTTCAAGGTAGACTATCATAAATAAAGATATACGTTTTAGATGTTAAAACAACCATGTAAAACCAAAAGAATTTAATTACCAATAATGGAGAAATTAAAAAAAACTCAAGGTGAAAAAAACTCAATTGGAAAAAGGGATTAAGAACTAAACAGGTACAACATATATAAACAAATAACAAGATGATTGTTATAAACTTTATTATATTGATATTTACATTAAAGGTAAATCATCTAGACAGGCCAATAAAAAGGCAGAGATTATAAGATTAGATATAGAGAGCACACTTTAAATATACATAGACTGATAAGTATATTAGTCTGTTTTCATGCTGCTGATAAAGTCATCCCCAAGACTGGACAATTTACAAAAGGAAGAGGTTTATTAAAGTTACAATTCCACATAGCTAGGGAGGCCTCACAATCATGGCAGAAGGCAAGGAGGAGCAAGTCACATCTTAAGTGAATGGCGGTAGGCAAACAGAGCTTGTGCAGGACAACTCCTGTTTTTAAAACCATTGGATCTCATGAGATCCATTCACTATTATGAGAATAGCACAGGAAAGACCTGCTGTCATAATTCAATCATCTCCCACTGGATCCCTCCCACAACACATGGGAGCTACAACATGAGATTTGGGTGGTGACACAGAGCCAAATCATATCAATAAGTTAGATAATGAAAAAATATAAACCCTAAAGACACTGAGCATAAAAAAGCTGGAAAGACTGTAGTAAAAATTAATAAAAATTACTATAAAATAAGCTATATTACTAGAGATAAACATAGCAATTTCATAATGACAAGGAAGCAAATTAATCAAGAAGGCAAAACACTACTTCACATTTATGCATTTAATAATGGCTGAAATATACATGAAGCAATAACTAATAGTAATGAAGAGGGAAATAGGCAAAATCAGAACCATGGTTGGAATTTTCTACACCCCCTCTGAATAAGTGATAAATATATAATCAGTAAGAACATAGGAAAAAATTAATAATATCAAGCAAATATACCTAATTTACATTTATAGAACATTTCAGCCTACAGTAGCAGAATACACACAATTTTAAAGTAAGGAATGTTTAACAAAATAGGCCAGATAATATGCCATAAAATAAATTTCATCAAATTTAAGTGAATTGAAATCAGAAATACAAAGTATGTTCTCTAACCACAGTATAAATAATCAGAAACCAACAACAGGAAGGTATCTGGAAAAGTCTCAAACACTTGAAAGCCAAAGAAAGCATTCCTAAATATCCCACAGGTCAATCAAGAGAGAAATTAGAAAGTATTTTGAATTAAATAAAATGAAAAAGCAGCATTTTAAAATTTTTGTGATGTAAATTAAACAGTGTGAAAAGAGAAAGTTACAGCTTTAAATGTTTAAATTAGAAGCACACCAACACAAATTTAAATCAATCATTTAAGCCAGGGGTTTGCAAAATTTTCTGTAAAGGGCCAGATGAGCAATAATTTAGCCTTACTAGTCTATAGTCATTACTACTCAGCTCTGCCATTGTAGTTTGAAAACAACCATAAACAATGCTTAAATAAATGAGTAGGGTTTTATTCTTAAAAAGTTATGAAGACTGTAATTTGAATTACATGTAATTTTTATTTACACAAAATATCATTTTATTTTTCAAATATTTAAAAATGTAAAAACCACTCAGCCTTCATGCACTACAAAAATAGTTGGTGGGATGAATTTTTCCTACAGGTGACAATTTGATGACTACTGATCTCTTAGGAAGTTTGACAAGCAAAGCAAATTAAATCCAAACTAAATGAAAGGAAGGGAATAACTATACAAACAACATTCAGTGACATTGATGATGCACAAAGAAGAAAGTAAAAGCAAAGAAACCATAAGATAATAATTTTAAAAATTAATAAAGATAATAGACCCCCAGATTCATTAATAAAGAAAAACAGTGTGAAGACACATTATTAATATTAAGAATAAAAGAAGAGAAACACTCTGGAGTCTACAGCTTAATAAGAAAATGTTATAAATGAATTAATGCCAATAAATTTGACAACTTAGATGAAATAAATATGTATCTCGGAACTCATAAATTATCTAAATTGGCTCACCTTTAACATTTTTAGCAAAGAGAATCCACAAATACATGAAAATATTAAATTTGAAATAAAATCCCTTAAAATAATTAAGAAAATAAGAAACACAAGATCATCTTGATAATGTGAAAATAACATTTGATAAAATTCAAGGGCAGCTCATTCATAATAAAAATTCTCAGCAAATTAGAAACAGAAAAGATAATTCGCTGAAATACCTCTGAAAATCTTAAAGTGATGATTATTACTGGTGAAAGATCGAATTCTTTCCCCTTAAGTTTGGGAGCAAGTCAAGATACCCATTAACGTCATTGCTATCAGGAAGTCACTAGAGGTCCTAGCCTGTGCATTAAGGATTAAATATATATATATGTTTTGAAAAGCAAGAAATAAAGCTGTCTTTACTGTCTTTGTATAAAACAACATGAGTACTGGGCATAAACAAAATTAAAATTAATTTAAAATTTAAATTTAAAGTAAAAAATTTAACACTAAATATATAGGGATACATATAACAACAAATGTACAAAAAACTAAAAACGTTGCTGAAAGAAATTAAAGAAGATCTCACAAAATTTAGCAGTATGTAATGTTGTTCATAGTTGGAAAGACTCAATATTATCAATTCTTTTGAAAATGATTTATGGATTTTATACAATCTCAACTGAAATTTCTATGAGTTTCTTAATAGAAATGGACAAGATTTTCATATAAATCCTTACATTTATATGGAAAAACAAATGGCCCAGAAATGTAGCCAAAACAACTACATTTTCAAAAACAAAGATGAGTTACTCTACATTATTATTTTAGTATAAAGCTACCATAACTAAAAAAATTTAAGAATAAGGATAGACATAACAATCAGTGGAACAGAATAGAGTAACTTCGTTCACAAATATATGGGCAATTGATCTATGACAGAGGTGCCAAACTAATTCAATATGTAAAGGACAGCCTGCTTTATGACTGGAAAAACCATTCATAAAATAGGGCAGCTTTGGAAGAGCCACTAAAATGTTTTTGGGCAGGAGGGAATTTTATGACAGTATGAATAAGTCTAACTATATGAAAGAAACTTATTAGATCTTACCTCAGGACTGTAGTAACTTTTAGGCCCAGGGACAAAAATTTGTTAGTGCCTATCAATGTTGGTGGATATCAACATTTATTACACTAAAATGCCTTTAAAACTTACTTTGTCATCAGCCTATGTCTTGAAATGAAAACTTGCTACAGAGGAAGATCTCTTTTGCACGTGACCTCTACTTAAATAATGACTTAAATGGAAGTTCTTTTTGAACAGAGTAATTCAGAGTACTAAAACATAAAGATGTCCTTTCTGAAGAAAAAAGTGAGCTTATCTTTAAAAACATACAATGTATTAATTGTATCTTTTTAATTTTTCCCCTTCTTCTTTGGAGTAGAACGTCTCTTTCTGAAAGTGAAATATTTTTAATAATTTATTAATGAGTACTTCTACTTTTGGCATTATTCTGATTTATATCTTTGAGATACTGCTAATATAGTTACTGGAACTTCTGCATTTTAAAATAAGGAACTTTCTAATTATCTAGAAAGCCACCTAACAGATATAATATATTTTGCACTTACAAATACTGTTACTTTCTTAAAGATGTCTCGTATAGAAGAACAAACTATAATTAATGCTTTCAGAAAAAGTAGCAAACATTTTGAAAATTTGAACCAGTTTATTCTTGAATGTGAATTGTTTAAATGCCTTCCCTTATAATTCACTTATAGGCACATTACAGTTTTTATTCCTTTTTTAAAAAAAATCCCATGTGCCAGCAACCTCCTATACTTTCATCAAATGGCTTCAAGATGGAAATGAAAGTTTCTATGTAAAAAACTTAAGAAAAATCATGTAAGCCATACTTCATATGGGACTAAGGGAGGCTTATCATTTGGAAAATTTTGGGGAGGAGGTGGGGAATTAAAGTAATTGGGATAAAAATAAATTACACCCTAAATTACAATTGTTATAACTAGAATTAAAAAGCTAATAATTGGTAAGTAGTGTAATTGTTTATTATAAATATTTTGATACCTCTAATATAAATTTAAATTTCTTTTAAAAGAAACTAAAATTACTAATTTAAAAATAAAAGTAGGTTCTCAGTTAAATTTGTCACTTTACAACAATTAGTTATGCAAACAGAAGAAAAGTAAATCTATATTTTCACTACTCAGACAATGATTATTTATGTTTGTGAGAGGTGACACTGTGCTGGCAGCCCTCGCTCACTCTTGTTGCCTCCTCGCCCTCGGTGCCCACACTGGCCGCGTTTGAGGAGCCCTTCAGCCTGCTGCTGCACTGTGGGAGCCCCTCTCTGGGCTGGCCGAGGCCAGAGCTGGCTCCCTCTGGCAGACCAGTGCGAGTTCCGGGTGGGCATGGGCTTGGCGGGCTCCACACTTGGAGCGGCCAGCTGGCATTGCTGGCCCTGGGCAGTGAGGGGCTTAGCACCCAGGCCAGCAGCTGTGGAGGGTGCACCAGGTCCCCCAGCAGTGCCAGCCCACTGGTGCTGCGCTCAAATTCTCTCCGGGTCTCAGCTGCCTCCCTGCGGGGCAGGGCTCGGGACCTGCAGCCTGCCTTGCCTGAGCCTCCCTTACGCCATGGGCTTCTGCATGCAGCCAGAGCTTCCCCGATGAGCGCCGTCCCCTGCTCCGTGGCGCCCAGTCCCATTGACCTCCCAAGGGCTGAAGAGTGCAGGCGCACTGCATGGGACTGGCAGGCAGCCCCGCCTGCGGCTCCAGTGCGGGATCCACTAGGTGAAGCCAGCTGGGCTCCTGAGTCTAGTGGGGACTTGGAGAACTTTTATGTCTAGCTGGAGGATTGTATACACACCAATCAGCACTCTGTGTCTAGCTCAAGATTTGTAAACATGCCAATCAGCACTCTGAGTTTAGCTCAAGGTTTGTAAATGCACCAATCAGCACTCTGTATCTAGCTAATCTAGTGGAGACTTGGAGAACTTTTGTGTCTAGCTCAGGGATTGTAAACGCACCAATCAGCACCCTGTCAAAACGGACCAATCAGCTCTCTGTAAAATGGACCAATCAGCAGGATGTGGGTGGGGCCAGATAAGGAATTAAAAACAGGCTGCGGAGCCAGCAGTCCCAACTTGCTCGGGTCCCCTTCCACACTATGGAAGTGTTCTTTCTCTCGTTGCAATAAATCTTGCTGCTGCTCACTCTTTGGGTCCGCACTGCCTTTATGAGCTGTAATACTCTTCAGGAAGGTCTGCAGCTTCACTCCTGAGGCCAGTGAGACCACAAACCCACCAGGAGGAATGAACAATTCTGGACGGGAGGAATGAACAACTCTAGACACGCTGCCTTAAGAGCTGTAACACCGTGAAGGTCTGCAGCTTTGCTCCTGAAGCCAGCGAGACCATGAACTCACCAGAAGGAATAAACTCCGAACATGTCCGAACAAGCTCCGAACATGTCCGAACATCAGGAGGAAAAAACTCTGGACACGCCACCTTTAAGAACTGTAACACTCACTGCGAGGGTCCACAGCTTCGTTCTTGAAGTCAGTGAGACAAAGAATCCACCAATTCCGGACACGTTTGGACAGTATGTGTAGCACATTTAATTCTCTGCTCACATCTAGATCACATCGTTTTATTTAATTGTTGTGGAGAGCATGTGAACTGTGTCCCTGGGATCTGGCACACACATAGTTTGGTGCTTGACTCTGGAGCAAAACTCTAGAATCAAGAAGCTGTGGTTTCTGAGTCAAGAGGGTCACAGGTGGAGCAGTCTTTGCTCTAAGCTGGGGTGTTTAAAGATGGGAAGCTTTCCTTGTGTGCCAGATTAGACTGCAAGAGCGATGGAGGTGGGGCCTTCCTTAAAGGGCCTTGCCAGAGGATGATGCCTGAGAGGTCCAGGCAAACCTTAACCCAAAGGGTAAACCTTAACCCAAAGGCACCCAAAGGGCTCCGATGCTCAATTACAACAGCAGCCATTAATAAAGACTTTGTCTCTTTTTTTCCTTTCCTTTGCCTCCCTCCCTCCTTCCCTTCCCTCCTTCCTTCCTTTATTCCCTCCCTCTTTGTTCTCCTCCTCCTTTTTTTCTTTTTGATTCACTCTTCATCCATCTGATCATGGGGAAATCAAAACAGCTGCTTACAATTACAGATTAAGGTAAAGGAAGCAAGTAAATAATCCAGTGATGATTCCCATTCTCTTGGTAGAAAACTGAGTCTGGGTTAGGCCTTGGATGAGGAAAGAGAAGCTGTTTCAAATTGTATGTCAGAAAAAAAAATGTGATTTAGCTCAGAAGGAACTTGTTAGTTGCTGATACATTCAGTATCCAAGATAAATGATAAAGCTCAGGAACTAAGAACAGATGAAACAATTGAAAACAATTGTGGGGGGCAAAATTAAGCTATTTGCTGATAGCTCTCTACTAAATTCAGCTCTTTGAATACACCCATCTCATTTGACTTTGCATCCACAATGACTAACATAAGTACTCAACAGATGTCTCCTGAAATAAATGAAAAACAGTTGAAAAATTGGTTACTTTGTTCTTTTGAACCCACAATTTTTTCTACATAGCTGGGAACCTGAAAGTAAAATATTACTTTATCTGGTAAGATTTGCTTTCAGGATCAGAAAAAAATCTTGGCATGCAATTGCATGGTATAGTGACTGTGTGCTGAAGCTGAAAACTTCAAGATAAAATGTGGTGTGTCATGCCTTGTCATGTTAAAATTTTAACAAAATTATAATTTTTAAAATATCTGTTCCTTTTCCTGCTTAGCTTGTGGTTAATGGTTTAAAATGGATGTCTGTTAACTGATTACAAGTAGACTTCTCTAACCTTCCATTGAAAATAAACTTAAAGATCAGAAAATAAAACAAAAACAATACTCAAGACTAAAACTACAATAAAGTGCTGCTACAAAGCAAGAGACATTTTATATAATTTTGAATTATACAAATTTCATTCAAACCATTTTCATGGTTTTTGCTCCATTACAAACCACCTACATTATTTACTTAGTACATTTCTTTAAATAAGATTGAATTTTTTATTTATCCTTGAATTGAACAATAATATTTTTGCTATTACTTTTTTCTAAAATTTGGTTTTCAAATCTCTATGTCAGAATAGTTAGTGATATTTCTATGATGCAAATTAAACACAGCTAGTAACACATAGTACACATCCCTAATTTCTCATCATTTCTTTTAAAAATCTGATATAATTCCTCTTGTGAGAGTCTAAATAAAACAGCAACTTTCCCATCTTATTATAGTGATAAAAGTATAAGAGCGAAATCAGAAGACATGTATCATTTTTTATTTCTCTATTCAAAAAGTCTATGACTATATGAGAGGTTCTAGAGGAGAATAACATGTTTGGAATCTACAAAAAGATTCCATCATCATCTATAATCATCCACAATAAGTCTGATACTTGAACTAAACATTTAAGCCATTTGCTTATTATTAGTTTTGTTATGCTTCCATCTTCTGTTCTCATTTTAAATGTACAGTTATGTGCACAAATATAAATTTATATAATGGCTTTCCTCATTTCCACATTCCATTCATTGACCAATTTTACTACATCTAAGAATGCTTAATATAAGTCCTATAGATTATGATTAAATGCGTACAAATTGACAAGCTTATTTCACTCGATTTGGGCTCTTGAAAATAGTTTTCATATAATGTATTGCAGTAAAGCCTAAATATTAATTAAGTCAAATTTTATTACATTCAAAGAACAGATATTGTGTGTCTGCCCTATGCAATGTTGTGTACTTGTTCAGTGGGAAATGCAAAAATTAATAATGCTGTGATAACAATTTTGCTATGAAAAACTTGCTATTAATTATAATAGAGATATGAACAATGTCACACCTCAAGAAACTAGAGAAACAAAAACTAAACCAAAACCCAACAGAAGAAAGGAAGTAAAGATCAGAGCAGAAGTAAATGAAATTGAAACAAAAAAATACAAAAGATAAATGAAACAAAAAGCTGGTTCTTTGAAAAGATAAAGAAAATTAATAGACTATTAGTGAGATTACCCAAGAAAAGAAGAGAGAAGATCCAAATAAGCTCAATTAGAAATGAAATGGGAGTTCTTACAACCAATACCACAAAAATATAAAAAATTATTCAAGGTTACTATGAACAACTTTTTGCACACAAACTAGAAAATCTAGAGGAGATGGATAAATTCCTGAAAATATACAACCCTCCTAGATTAAATCAGGAAGAAATAGAAACTCTGAATAGACCAATAATGAGCAGCAAGATTGAATCAGTAATAAAAACATTGCCAACAAATAAAGTCCAGGACCAGATTGATTAACAGCTAAATTCTATCAGACATTGAAAAAAGAATTGGTACCAATCTTACTGAAACCATTCCAAAAAATAGAGACATAGAGAATTCATCCTAAACCATTCTCTGAAGTCAGTATCACCCTAATACCAAAACCAGGAAAGGATATAACAAAAACAGAAAACTGCAGATGACTATTTCTGATGAACATAGATGCAAAAATCCTCAACAAAATACTAGCTAATCAAATCCAACAGCATATCAAAAAGATAATATATCACGCTCAAGTGGGTTTCATAACAGGAATGCGGGGATGGTTTAACATGCACAAATCGATAAATGTAATAAATCACATAAACATAATTAAAAACAAAAATCATATAATCACCTCAACAGATGCAGAAAATAGCATTTGATAAAATTTAGCATGCTTTATGATGAAAAAAAAAAACCCTCAACAAAATTGGCCTAGAAAGGACACACCTCAAAGTAATAAAAGCCACCTGTGACAAACCTTCAGCCAACCTCGTACTAAATGGGGAAAAGCTGAAAGCATTTCCCTTGAGAACAGGAATAAAACAAGGATGTCCACTTTCACCACTTCTATTCATCATAGCACTGGAAGTTCTAGACAGAGGAATCGACAAGAGAAAGACATAAAGGGCATCCCAGTCAAACTGTAACTGTTCATTGATGATATGATTGTTTACCTAGAAATCCCTAAAGACTTCTCTAAAATACTTCTAGATTTGATAAATAAATCCAATAAGGTCTCAGGAAACAAAATCAATGTACACAAATCAGTAGCACTCCTGTACACCAACAACCACCAAGCTGAGAATCAAATCAAGAATTCAATTCCTTCTACAGCAGCTGCAAAAAAATAAAATACTTAGAAATATACTTAACCAAGAAGGTGAAAGATCTCTACAAGGAAAACAAAGCACTGATGAAAGAAACCATAAATATTACAAACAAATGGAAACACATCTCATACTCATGGATGGGTAGAATCAATATTGTGGAAATGACCATATTGTCAAAAGCAATCTGCAGATTCAATGCAATTCCCATCAGAATACTTTCAGGATTCTTCACAGAACTAGTAAAACAATTCTAAAATTTATATGGAACCAAAAAAAGAAAAAAAAGCCCACATAGCCTAAACAAGACTAAGCAAAAAGAACAAATCTGGAGGCATCACGTTACCCAACTTTAAATTATACTACAAGATTATAGTTACCAAAACAGCATGGTACTGGTATAAAAATAGGCACATAGACCAACAGAATAGAGAACCTGAAATAAATCCAAATACTTACAGCCAATGTTCTTTGACAAAACATACAAAAGCAAAGGACACCCTATTCCATAAAAACTGGAAAAACTGGCAAGGCACATGTGGAAGAATGAAGCTGGATCTTCATCTCTTACCTTATACAAAACAAACTCAAGATGGATCAGATATTTAAATCTTAAGACCTGACCCCATGAAAAATTTAGGGGATAACATCAGAAAAATTCTTCGTGACATGAGCTTAGGCAAAGAATTCAGGACTAAGACCTCCAAAGCAAATGCAGCAAAAAGATAAATAAATAAGTGGGACCTAATTAAACTAAAAAGCTTCTACACAGCCAAAGAAATAATCAGCAAACAGTCAACTCACACCGTGGGAGAAAATATTTGCAAATCATGCATCTGACAAAGGACTAATATCTAGATCCTACAAGGAACTCAAATAAATCAGCAAGAAAGAAGCATATAATATCATCAAAAAGTGGGCTAAAGACATTGTATTATTCTGTTTTCATGCAACTGATAAAGACACGTCAGAGACTGGGCAATTTACATAGGAAAGAGGTTTAATGGACAACTCAAAGTTCCGTGTGCCTGGGGAAGCCTCAAATCATGGTGGAAGGTGGAAGGTGAAAGGCATGTCTCACATGGTGTTAGACAAGAGAAGAGAGCTTGTGAAGGGAAACCACCCTTTTTGAAACCATCAGATCTCATGAGACTTAGTGACTATCATGAGAACAGCACTAGAAAGACCTGCCTCCATGATTTAATTACCTCCATGGGGTACCTCCCACAACATGTGGGAATTCACAATGAGATTTGGGTGGGCACACAGCCAAACCATATCATTCTGCCCCTGGCCCCTCCCAAATCTTATGTCCTCACATTTCAAAACCAATCATGCCTTCCTAAGAGTCCCCCAAAGTTTTAACACATTTCAGCATTAACTCAAAAGTCCACAGTCCAGTCTGAGACAAGGCAAGTCCTTTCTGCCTATGAGCCTGTAAAATCAAAAGCAAGTTAGTTACTTCCTAGATACAATGGGGTACAGGCATTGGGTAAATAAAGCCATTCCACATGGGAGAAGTTGGTCAAAACAAAGGGACTAAAGGCCCCATGCGAGTCCAAAATCCAGTGGGGCAGTCAAATCTCAAAGCTCCAAAATAATCTCCTTTAATTCCATGTCTCATATCCAGGTCATGCTGATGCAAGAGGTGGGTTCCCATGGTCTTGAGCAGCTCTGTCACTGTGGCTTTGCAGGGTACAGGCTACCTCCCAGCTGCTTTCATGGTCTGGCATTGAGTGTCTGTGGTTTTCCAGGTGCATGTTGCAAGCTGTCAGTGGATCTACCATTCTGGGGTTGGGAGGATGGTGGCCCTCTTCTCACAGGCCACTAGGGAGTACCCCAGGAGGACCTCTGTGTGGAGGCTTCAACCCCAACTTTTCCTTTCTTCACCACCCTAGCAGAGGTTCTCCATGAGGGCCCCACCCCTGCAGCAAACTTCTTCCTGGGCATCCAGGCACTTCCATATATCCTCTGAAATCTAGGCGGAGATTCCCAAACCTTAATTCTTGACTTCTGTGCACCCGCAGTCTCAACACCACGTGAAAGTTGCCAAGGCTTGGGGCTTCCACTCTCTGAAGCAACACCCAGAGCTCTACATTGGTTCCTTTCAGCCACTGCTGGAGCAGCTGGGGTGTAGGGCACCAAGTCCCTAGGCTGCACACAGCATGGGGACCTTGGGTCCAGCTCACAAAACCATTTTTTTCTTCTAGGCCTCTGGGCTTGTGCTGGGACAGGCTACCATAAAGACCTCTGACACGCCCTGGAGACATCTTTCCCATTGCCATGGGGATTAACATTTGACTTCTTGTGACTTATGCAAATTTCTGCAGCCATCTTGAATTTCTCCTCAGAAAATGGGATTTTTTTCCTATCACGTTTTCAGGCTGCAAATTTTCCAAACTTTTATGTATGCTCTGCTTCCCTTATAAAACTGAATGTCTTAAGCATCACGCAAGTCACCTCTTGAATGCTTTGCTGTTTAGAAATTTCTTCCGTCAGATACCCTAAATCATCTCTGTCAAATTCAAAGTTGCACAAATCTCTAGGGCAGAGGTAAAATGCTGGCCATTCCTTTTCTAAAACATAGCAAGATTCATCTTTGCTCCAGTTCCCGACAATTTCCTCATTTCCATCTGAGACCACCTCAGCCTGGATTTTTTTGTCCATATCACTATCAGCATTTTGAGCAAAGCCATCCAACAAGTCTCCAGGAAGTTCCAAACTTTTCCACATTTTCCCATCTTCTTTTGAGCCCTCTACACCATTCCAACCTCTGCCTGTTACACAGTTCCAAAGTTGCTTCCACATTTTTGGGTATCTTTTCCTCAGCACCCCACTCTACTGGTACCAATTTACTGTATTAGTCCGTTTTCATGCTGCTGATAAAGACATATCCAAGACTCAGCAATTTACAAAGAAAAGATGTTTAATGGCAAATTCACAGTTCCACGTGGCTGGGGAGGCCTTACAATCATGGCAGAAAGTGAAAGGCATGTCTCACATGGCAGCAGACAAGAGAGGAGAGCTTGTGCAGGGAAACTCTCCTTTATGAAACCATCAGATCTGGTGAGACTCATTCACTATCATGAGAGCAGCAGGGGAAAGACCCGCCCCCATGATTCAATTATCTCCCACGGGATCCCTCCTACAACACGTGGGAATTCAAGATGAGATTTGGGTGGAGACACAGCTAAACCATATCAGACATGAATAATCATTCTCAAAAGAAGATATACAAACAGCCAACAAACATGAAAAAATGCTCAATATCACTAATTATCAGGGGCATTTATTTATTAGTTTATTTCTAAAGCATTTGAAATTAATTTGTAGACATTATTGCACTTAACCCTACATATTGCAACCTAAATTCTGGGAACTAAAACATACTCCTGTATAAGACCAATACCATAAATATATCCCATAAAAATGTTGATACAATACAATAAACTGAAATTATGATATAAAGTTTGTATTTAAGACTTCCCAATTATCTTGTTACTGTACTTTATAACTCTTCTTATGTTATTATTTGCCTAAATATAGGATCCCATTGTGAGTCAGGTTTCATTTTCTTTGTCAGTGTCCTAAAGAAAGTTTCCCAGCCTCTTGTCTTTTGGGATCACTGATATTTTTGAATAGTCAAAATCAGTTGCTTTTCATAACATCTCTCTGTTTGTCTTCATACAAATAGTTAAAAGTTATATATTATTGGCAAGAACACTCTCCAGGCAATGTGTGTACTATAAGGATGATTTCTTTTTTGAAAGGTTTTTAAGACATATTAAATCTCTTCAATAGATATAGGCCTATTAAGATTATTTCTTTTTGAGTAACTTTTGGTGGCTTTTTTTTTAAGAAATTAATCCATTCCATCTAGGTTTTCAAATTAATAGGCAGAGAGTTATTCATAGTATTTCCTTCATATTATTTTAATATCTGTGACTACCCTTCATTCCCGAAGTTGCTAGATGTACTCTTTCTTTTTTTCTTGGCTAGTTGGCCAGAGCTTTATAAATTTTATTGTTTCTTCCCCAACAATTTTGATAATTTTTTCATTGACAATTTCTATTGTTTCCCTGTTCCCAATTTCATTGATTTTGCTCACATATTTACTATATAATACCTTCTTATTGCATTGTATACAAATTATCTTATTTTACTTGTTTCATAAGGTGGCTGTTAAGATTACTGATTTGAGATAATTTATTTTCTTCTAATAAAAATAGCCAACACTTTAAATGTCCCTCTACTCACTACTTCGCCTGAATCTCACATGTATTGATATGCTGCAATTTTATTTTTATTTATTTTACTATATTTTGAAATTTCCTTCCTTCAAGACCTCCTACTTGATCCATATATTACTTAGAATTTTTTAATTTAATTTTTATGTTTGGGGTTTTTTGATATTTTTCTGTTACTGATTTTAAATTTTAATCTATGATGAGATAAGAAAATATACATTTTTTTTAGTTTGTAGTGGTTTAATGAGCTAGAAAATGATCTATCTTGTTGAATGTTTCATGTGCATTTGAGAAAATGTGTATTCTGTTGTTGAGCTGGGATTCAAATAGACTAATTTAGTTGATCATGTGTTCAGGTATTCTATATCATTATCAATTTTCTCTCTACTGCTCTATAATTTAATGGGAGAAAAGTCTTTATCTTTTATTTTAATACATATTGCTTATTGTTTTATATAGGGCAATTACTTTATCTCTTCAGTTAAGGCATAGTTTCAAATATCAAACTAGTTTTAAAAACTAGTTACAATTTATTATCCACAGACTCAATTATTATACAAGTATATAATAAAATTATTAGTTGGTGAACTAAATAAATTATTGTATTATTACTGCATAATTGTTATTACTCTACATAATCAAAATAGATTAAACATATTATTTATGTATCAAATCACTTCTATTTGTTTCGTTTCTTTATATATTAATATGTCAAGATGCAGACCCGGACGTATTTTCAAGAAGAGTTCATTATAATGTCAGATGTTCATTGTGAGTGATTCTACTTTGTTTAAAACATTTTCAATAGTCTTTTTAAAAGCTAAAAACTTCCTGTGCTATTATTTTCTACTTGGAAATTAAATATCTAAACTAAATTTTATCTCACTTATTAGCTTAGTATACTAGTACTACAGTTTGCAGAATCATGGAACATTTAATTAAATTGATTTTATGATATCATATTGCCTTAGGGAAACAAGCAATAATCTAATCTCACTTATAAATTAGAGCAGGGAACAGATACTATATTTTCCTATGTCTTACTAGTTGTGTTCTCTTTCATTATTATGAGTGCTCATACCACACTCTAACAAAAAATTATGATAAAGAGAAGTAAAATAGGTGGCTCTAATGACTTACTTTCTTGGTATATGAATATAACTTCTATTTTCTTGTTAATGTTTGTCATCTGAGGAGTTACAACATTACCTGTTAATTTATCCAAGTTCCACATGACTACATCAATGATTGTGAGTTATACATAATAACCCTTTTAAGCTGAAAATTATATTTTAATGAAATATTATTGGGCATTGAAAAACTAAAAGGAGATAAAAATGAGTTTTGATATTCACTTTTAGTTTGCATTAAGTAATCTTATAAAATAAATCATTAAAACTTTGATTGTTTTGATGAACACAACAGTTTGATTTTGTGTTATTAGTGATTCTTCTGCTCCTCTATTAGATTCTGCCTCACTTTGGTTCTGGGTACATGATATTGAGAGTGTTCTGGTTCCCACAGAGAAATTGCTGTTACTTTATTTTAGCAGCTCCTCTTACAATCTCAAACTACTCTTCAGTTTCATATCAGTTTCCCTGCTGAACTCTCTGAGCTCATCTCCCTTCGATTTTTTCCTTGCTGATTTCACTTTGGTCACCCAGATCTCTGCTGGTCCTTGATGGGCAGGACTTTCTGTTAGGGCTTTCACACTTGCACTTCCCAGAACACTCTACCCTAAGAATTTCTAAGGGATTTGCCATCCCCTCAGATCTCTGCTCAAATATCATCTCATTAGATAGGTATTTCAAAACCATTACTCTTCTGCTCATTTTTTTTATACATTCTTACAGTGACTTAGCATATTGTACAAGCATTTTCTATTGCTTATTTTCTCTCCTACCTTTCACCAACATTCCAGGTCCATGAAAGCACTTTGTTTTATTTATATCTATATTCCTAGAGCCTAGAGCTTTACCAGTAGGTAATGAACACTTAGGTAATATTATTTTTTATATTTATCACATGAATTAATGAGGATAACATGCCATGAATTGATGTATTAAAGCTTGTATTGCTATTAATTTCTCATGCACATATGTCTTGAAGTACTGTATATTGGTATGCTTTTATTTGTACAAACCCACACAACTTTAGATTCAAAAACAAAGCAAAGCAAAAACAATGCAGAACTGCTCACGTCTTTACTCATTATACTTTTTCAAAACATTCTAAACATAAGAAACAGCCATGTCAAGAGATGAATAGCACAAAATCTTAGCTAAACTGAGAATACACATTTACTTCTTGTGTCTCCAATGTGTTAAAATGTGCTACAATATTCAAGTGCTTTAGCTTCTCTTGAAACTTTTAAAACATTGTTCATATTTATAACATTTGATTCCAGTATTTGTGAAAACCCTTGAAGCATCGCTGTAGAACTGTAGATCTTCACAGAGCACAAGTAGAAAACCACTAAAGAAGAGGAATCTAGATCTCAACAGAAGATGACTCTTATGTAACCAGACAGAAAAGGCAGAAAGCAGGCTATGGTAAAATCCATTTTTATTATAAAACTCTTAGCCAAGGGATCACTTTTATAAAGTGGGGCTGCCATAAAGCTAAAGGACTTCAGGAGACCTCTTCTGTCTTGAGGAGGGTCCAAATCTTAATCCCCACTCCTGGATAGAACTGCTTTCAAAATATTCACAACTCCAAAGGGATAAACATTAATTAGGTTTCAAAGTCAGACATCTGCAACTAACATTTGTACTTACAGCATTTAAAAAATGTGCCGTAGTTCAATAGGTATGTACTGACTGTCTACCATGTGCAAAGAATTAGGAGGCACGGAAGGGGCTACAGAATAAATCAGCACTTTATTCATTCAACAATTATTTTTTGAGCTGCCACTATGTACAAGATATTGCTCAAGACCAAACAATCAAAAAATTGCCAGCCTTATGGAGCTGGAGGAATTAAGAAAGATTCACTGAAGGAGAAAAAATTAAAAGCATGGTACTTTAGGGGCATATATATATACTAAAGGTAATAATGTGAGCTAAGGAACACAAGTGAGGACAAGCAGGGTAGTTTCTGAGAATGGCCCAGGTACTTTGTGTTAGTTAAATGTAGATAAGCAATAAGAGATACATATACAGAGATAGGTAGCATTCATATTCATATTTGTGATCATTAATTTTATGTGTCAACTTGACTGCATTAATGGATACCATGATAATTAGTAAAACATCAGTTCTTGGTGTGTCTGTGAATCTTTAAGGGTGTTTCTGAAAGAGATATGGACTGAGTAAGATTTGAATCAGTGAACTGAGTAAGGAAGATTTGCCCTCACCGATAAGGGAAGGCATCATCCAATCCATTGAGGACCCACATACAACAAAAAAAGTAGAGGAAGGAAAGATAATGTCTCTCTTCTTGAGCTGGCTCATCTATCTTATCTTTCCTTTGAATATCAGAGATCCTTGTTCTTGAGTCTTCTGATTCAGACTGAATTGGACCACCAACTTTTTCAGTTCCCTGCCTTACAGATGGCGTACTGTGAGCCTTGCAGATGGCATACTGTGAGCCAATTTCCCTAATAAATCTTTTATATCTATATAAATTCTATTGGTTCTTCTTCTATGGAGAATCCTTACTAATACGATATTGCAGAGAAACTTAAATACCAAGTCAGAGGAATCTGTACCCAGTTTATTAGTCATGAAGAGCCAATGTAAGTTTTTGAATAGGCAAAGAGTTCTTAGTGGTCCGTACAAAAATTAAGAGTGCACTCATATGTTGATATTATCTAAAAACATTAATTTACCTACATTTTGTTTCCATATCGAAATTCCTATAGTGAAATGAAATGTGTCTCTTCACAAGCTGTTAGAAAAAAAAAATGAAAAAAATAACTTTGATATCTATGGTTCCTTTAACAGTTTTTAAGTTTCTTCTCTCTCTCTTTCTTTTCCTCTCTTCCTTTTTTTCATGAAAGATTAATGCAAGCATAGAAAATTCAACGTTTTTATATGGAGAACTAGATCCTATACATGTTACTAGTTATGTGGTTGAGCTCCTTGACCTATTTATCATTTTGAAAGAAACTGAAATGACTCTGTCAGGTGTAGAATGTGCCCAGATCAACACAATGCTCAGCCCCTGTGCTGTGATGAAGAGCAATATATTTAAGCATCTAATATTTATATTCACTTCAACTTGTTTGTTCATTTTTCATTGTGAGTGCCCATAGAGATGAAAGAAATTAGTTTCATTATTGATGACTTCTAAATACAGACAAGCTTAGGGAGGAATGAAATCAGACAGTGTTTGGTATTCCAAACTGAATGCTACATCCAGGCAGTGCCTGTTAAAGAAGGCTAATTAAAATGGTGCTTTCAATGATGCACTTACAAATCACCTTCTTTAATCTGTCATTTACATACACATATGTACATCAAACTGTCCTTATTAAAGAGGTAACAGAAGAAAAATCAAATAGGTAATTTTGACTGATATCACCTTTGTCTTTTGCTTTCACAAACACATAAAAGGGTTGAACAGCAGATTTCTTTCAGGTGAAGGCCTGAAATCTTCACATATGACTCAGCTTGCTACTCTAATGTCTATTCATTAATCTGTAGTGCTTTCTTGGGAGATAAGAAGCTTCTAAATGAAAATAATGAATGTTCTTCCTTCCGAGCATTTCCTCAGTAATTCATATTGTCCTGACATATATACAGAGTTCCTTCCCTGAGTTACCTTTGTGACCCCTGTTTAAGAGTGGAATAAAATGAGAAAAGGTTCAAGTTTAAAATATTCCTACAAGAAAATTAACTCTAAACACGTCTGTCAATACCTAATAAAAGAATAATTTAATACAAAAGAATTCCTAGCAATGCTAATCAACTTCCTGAAAATCATCAGGGTAGGACAATCATTTGCCCTATATTATTATTCTGCCCTTTTTGCAACAGAGCCCCTAAAAGTAAATAATGTGACATTTTCTTCTCAAAAATAATCTTTTTGACCATTTCCATGAAATATACATTAAGTTGTTTTAAAAGTCACCACTAATACCCTTGCCCTTTAGACCTCTGCTTGCAGAGATAATGAGTTAGAGTTTGCTGAACATTTCATCTCTGTTTCAGCCTCTTGCATGGTCATGGTATTGAATGACCCATCCTGGTAAAACATACTGTTTTTCTTTATTCTCATTACAGATAGACAGTAAAATCTCATTAGCTAACTGACTCAAGAACCCTGTGTGGTCAATTGAAATATGACCTACCAATTGGGAAGCGTTGCCTCTTTTTTAAATCACTTTTAAGTTGTGAGGCAGACAAGGAGATCAAGGAAAATTCAGTTGCTCTTCATTCATTTAGCCCTTAGTAAATAATGTCTCTAAAAAATAAGTCTAAATTCATTATACTACCTTCCTGAAAGTTTTCTAAAAGTGTTTCTAAAATGCAGTTAGAGGTAAGAGGGAGTAGATTCCTAAACTATTTATTATTTTTAGTTATAAATTTAGTTTATTGAAACAGTTATAGCTAAAAATACAAATTTCTTGCTTAACTATTAGGAAATATAAAATCTAATATCACTTCTCTGGATACTGATTATGTTATTATATTGTGTATGTTAATTCAAATGATTTCATTTAATTAATATCAATCAGGACAAATGAATGGATTTATTCATCCACACATTAGTTAGTGTCCCATGCTATATTGAACAGTGTTGATACAGACAAATGACATGTGGGGTCTACCTGTAAATTGAAGACAAGAAAACAGCCAATACAGTCTATATATTTTTACTGATACAGAATATTTTACATATATATGGGCTACATGGGATATTTTGTTACATGAATAGAATGTATAGTGATCAAATCATCATATTTGGGGTATTTATCACCTTGAATATTTATCCTTTCTATGTGTTGGGAATATTTCAGGTTTTCTCTTCTAGCTACTTTGAAATATATAAAATACATTGCTGCTAACTATAGTCACCTTACTCTGCTACTGAATATTAGAACTTACAACTTCTATCTAACTGAATGTTTGAATTCATTAACCCACCTCTCTGTGTCCCCCAGTTTCACCCACACATCCTTCCCAGCTGTTGGTTTCTATCATTCTCTTCTCTACCTCCACGTGATCTACTTTGTTAGCTCTCACATATGAGTGAATGCATGCAAAATTTGTCCTTCAGTGCCCATCTTATTTCACCAAACATAATGACCTCCAGTTTCATCCATGTTGCTACAAATCACAGGATTTCATTCTTTTTTATGGCCAAATAGAATTCCATTGTGTATATATAGCACATTTATTTATTCATTTACCTGTCAATGGACAATTAGGCTGATTTCATATCTTGGCTGTTGTATATAGTGCTGCAATAAACATGGGGGTGCAGATATCTCTTTGGTATCATGATTTCCTTTCCTTTGGATAAATACCTATTAGAGGGATTTCTGGATTGTACTGTAGTTCTATTTTTAGTTTTCTGAGAAATCTCCTACTGTTTTCCATAAAGATTATATTACTTTACATTCCACCAATGGTATATAAAAGTTCCCTTTTTCTCACATCCTTGCCAGTGTCTGTTATTTTCTTTCTTTTTGATGATAGCCATTTTAACTGGGGTGAAGTGATATATCTTTGGGGTTTTGACTTGCATTTCCCTGATGATTAATGATGTTGAGTATTTTTAAAAATATCTCTTGACCATGTGTATGTATTTTTTGAGGCATGTTCTTTGCCGTTAATGAGATTATTAATTATTATTATTATTATTATTATTATTTTGAGACAGAGTTTCGCTCCTGTTGCCCAGGCTGGAGTGCAATGGTGTGAACTAGGCTCACTGTAACCTCTGCCTCCCGGCTTCAAGTGATTCTCCTGCCTCAGCCTCCTGAATAGCTGGGATTACAGGCACCCACCACCACGCCCGGCTAATTTTTGTATTTTTAGTAGAGACAGGTTTTCGCCCTTTCGGCCAGGCTGGTCTCGAACTCCTGACCTCAGGTGATCCACCCGCCTCAGCTTCCCAAAGTGCTAGAATTACAGGTATGAGCCACCGAACCAGGCCAGAGATTATTATTATTATTTTTATTATTCAGTTGTTTGAGTTCCTTGTGTATTTCTACATATTAGACTCTTGTTGGATGAATAGTTTACAAATAATTTCTCCCATTGAAAAGGTTGTCTTTTCACTGTGGTTGATGGTTTCCTTTGGTATGCAGAAACTGTTTTGTTTAATATAGTTCCATTTGTCCACTTTTGTTTTTGTTACTTGAGCTTTTGAAGTCTTTGTCATAAAATCTTTGCCTAGACAAATGCTTTAGAGTGTTTTCTGTACATTTCCTTCTAGTAGTACTACAGTTTCAGATCTTAAATGTTAAGACTGTAGTCCTCTTTGAGTTGATTCTTTTTATATGGAGAGATACACGAGTTTAGTTGTATTCTTTTGCATATGGCAATTCAATTTTTTCAGCGCTATTTATTGAAGAATTTACTCTTCCTCCAATGTACATTCTTGATATCTGTGTCAAAAATCAATTGGCTACAAAAAGGTGGATTTATTTCTGGGTTTTCTGTTCTGTACCATTGGTCTATGTTTCTGTTTTTACAACAATACCATGCTCGTTTGGTTGATATAACATGTAATACATTTTGAAGTGAGGTAGTGTGATGCCTCCAGCTTTGTTCTTTTTGCTCAAGATTTCTTGGGCTATGTGGGCTCCTTTTATGTTCTATATGAATTTTAGGATTTTTTTATATTACTGTGAAAATGTCATTGGTAGTTTGATAGGGACTGCATTGAATTTTCAGGTTGCTTTGGATAGTATGGTCATTTCAACAAAATTAATTTTTCCAATCCATGGGCTTGGGATGTTTTTTCATTTGTTTGTGTCCTCTTCAGTTTCTTTTGTCAATGTTTTACAGTTTTCCTTCAGAGGTCTTTCAACTCGTTGGCTAAATTTATTCATAGGTGTCTTATTTGTTTTGTAGCTATTGTAAATGAAATGAAATTGCTTTCTTGATGTTTTTCAGTTAGCTTATTATTGGCATATAGCAACACTTGATATTTGTATGTGGATTTTGTATCCTGAAACTTTACCAGATTTGTTTATCATATCTAAAAGAATTTTTGATGGCATCTTCAGGTTTTTCTAGACTTAAGATCACGTATTCTGCAAAGAGGGAGAATTTTACTTCCTCTTTTCTAATTTGGATGGCTTTCCACTTGCCTTTCCGTTTCACTTGCCTGATTTGCCCTGACTAGGACTTTCAGTACTATGTTGAATAGGAGTGATTAAAGTGGGCATCCTTGTCTTGTTCTATATTTTAGAGGAAAGGCTTTCAGATATTCCCCTTTCAGTATGATGTTAGCTGTGAGTTGTCATATATGGCCTTCATTACATTGAAGTATATTCATTCTATGGATCATTTTTTGAAAGTTTTTTTTTTATCAAGAAGTGATACTGAATTTTATCAAATGCTTGTCTGCATCTATGAGGTAATTGTGTGGTTTTTGTCCTTCATTCTGCTAATGGAATATATCACACTTATTGATTTGTGTATGCTGAGCCATCTTTGCATCCTTGCATACACTTATTGATTTGTGTATGCTGAGCCATCCTTGCAATAATAATAAAATAAGAATAAATCCCACTTGACCATGGTATGTTATCTTTTTGATATGCTGTTGGGTTCTGTTTGCTAGTATTTTATTGAGGACTTTTGTGTCTATATTTTTCAGAAATACTAGCCTACAGTTTTCTTTTTTGTTGCATCTTTTCTGGTTTTGGTATCAGGATAATGCTGGCCTCGTAGAATGAGTTAGGAAGAATTTCCTCCTCTTCAATTTTTTGATAGAGTTTGAGAATTGATGTTAGTTCCTCTGTATATGTTTGGTAGTACTTGACAGTGAAGCCATCTGATCATGAGCTTTTCTTTATTGGAAGATTTTTTTATTACTGATTAAATCTTATTACTCATTATTGGTCTGTTCAGGTTTTCTATTCATCTTGATTCAATGTTGGTAAGATTTATGTGTCCAGAAATTTATCTATTTCCTCAATGTTTTCCAGTATGTTAGTGTGAATTTGTTCATAATAATCTCTGCCTATCTTTTGTATTTCTGAGTTATTTGTTCTGATGTGTCCATTTTTCTTACTGATTTTATTTGAGTCCTCTCTTTTCTTCCTGGTTAGTCTGGATAGCAGCTGATTAATTTTATCTTTTAAAAAACTGATTTTCTGTTGATTCTCTATATAGTTGTATTAGTCCTTATTTCCTTTAGTTCTGCTCTGATTTTTATGATTTCTTTCCTTCTACTAATTTTCGCTCTGATTTGTTTTTGCTATTCTAGTTCCTAGAGTTGAATCATTAGGTTGTTTTATTTAAAATCCTTTGCTTTTATGACATAGACATTTTTTGCTATAAACTTCCCTCTTAGCACTGTTTTTCCTGTATCCCATAGGTTTTGGTAGGTTTGTTTGCATTTTCGTTTGTTTCAATTTTTTTTTTATTTTCTTCTTACTTTTTAAATTGAGCTAATGGTCTTTCAGGAGCATGTTGTTTAAGATCCAGGTATTTGTACAACTATCAAACTTCTTATTGATTTCTTGGTTTATTCCATTGTGGTCTGAGATGATACTTTATATGATTTTGGTTTTTGAAAATGCATTGGGACTTCTTTTGTGGCCTAACATATGGTGGATCCTGGAGAAAGTTCTATGTGCTGATGAGAAGAATGTGTATTCTTCAGTTTTTAAATAAAATGTTCTGTAAATACCTGTTAAGGTTATTTAGTCTAAAGTACCACTTAAATCCTGTGTTTCTTTGTTGATTTTCTGTCTAGAAGATCTGTCTAATGCTGAGAGTGGGGTGCCAAAATCCTCAATTATTATTGTATTAGAGTCTATCTCTTCCTTTAGATCTAATAATATTTGCTCTATGTATCTGGGTGCTCTGGTGTTGGGTGCTCCTTTATATCCTCTTGCTGGATTGATCCCTTTATCATTATATAATAACCTTCTTTGTCCCTGTTTATAGTTTTTGACTTAAAGTCTGTTTCATTTGATGCAAGTATAGCTATTCCTGCCTGTTTTTGGTTTTCATTTGCGTGGAATATCTTTTTACAACCCTTTATTTTCAGTCTATATGACACATCACAGGTGAAGTAAGTTTGCTATAAGTAGTATAGAGTTGGGTAAGGTGTTTTTTCCATTCATCCAGCCTATATCTTTTAAATGGATAATTTAATCCATTTACATTCAGCATTATTATTGATATGTAAGTTTTTATTTCTGTCATTTTGCTAATTGTTTTCTGATTGTTTTTTATATCCTTTATTCTTTTCTTCTCTTTTCATTGTTTATCATTGCAGCTTGGTGTTTTTTGTAGTGATGACAACAACAATAACAACAAAAAAAAAAACAGGCTTTTCTGTTCCTCATATGTGTATTTTTCTTTCAAAAGTCTAATAATTGAATTTTAGATTTTTGTCTATTTTTATGACAGTGGATATTATCCTCTCACTTCCAGGCATAGGTCTTCCTTAAACATTTCTTGTAGAGCTGATCTAGTGGTAATGAATTGACTCCGTTTTTGCCTGTCTGGACAAGATTTTATTTCTCCTTCATTTTTGAAGGATAAGTTTATTGGGTGTAGTATTCTTGACTGGCAGGGTTTTGTTTGATTGTTTTCCTCTTTCATCACTTTGAATATATCATCCTATTCTCTCTTGGCCAGTAAGGATTCTGCTGAGCAATCCATTGTTATTCTGATGGGATTTCACTTATATGTGACTTGATTCTTTTCTCTTGCTGTTTTTAGAATTCTCCCTTTTTCTTTGACTATTGACAGATTGACTACAATGTGTCTTGAATAAAACGTTTTTAGGTTGCATGTGTTTGGGAATCTTTGAGCTTCCTGTATTTGGATATTTAAATGTCTTATTAGACTTTGGGAAGTTTTCAGCTATTATTTCCTTAAATCAATTTCTATACCTTTACTCCATTCTTTTCCTCTGGAACACCCATTATTAGAAAATTCTGTCACTATGTGGCATTCCATATGTCAAGTAGGCTTTTCTAATTATGTTTTATTTTTTATTTTTTGTATTTACTGGGTTATTTCTATGACCCATCTTCAATTTTTGAAACAGTTTCTTCTTGATCTGTTGAATCCTTCAATTGTATTTATTATTTCATTCATTGATTTTTTTTATTTGTAGGATTTCTGGGGTTTTTTAAAATAATATTTATCTTTTTGGTGTACTTCTCATTTTTATCCTAAATTGTTTTTCTGATTTATTTGTATTGTTTACTTGTGTTCTCTTGTGTCTTACTGACCTTCTTTAACATTATTATTTTAAATTCTTTTCCAGACATTTCATAATTTTTTTTCATTGGAATCGTTGCTAGAGAATTATTGTGCTCCATTGAAGGTGTCATGTTTCCTTAATTTTTTGTGCTTCTTGTGTCCTTATGTTGATACCTGTGCATCTGGTATAACAGTCACTTTTCCAATTTTTTGGATTGGCTTTCATAGTGGAAGACTTTTTCCTGTAGATATGCCTATGGCGTTTGTTTGGTAAGGCACTTTAGCTTTGATTCTGTGTGCATGCAGTAATGCAGTCTTTGAAGCATTTCTTCAGCTGTAAACAGCATCACTCATGTTTGTGATTTCTTCAGTGGCTTAGGTTGAAGTTGTCAGTGGAGGCTGTGTTGATGATTTTCTGGGGATGAGGATGTCAGGTTGCCAGTCCTTGGCTTCAATTGTTATAGTAGTGGGCTGTGTGTGCTTCTCCTGGACCCCTAAGTGACATATGCATGCACTGATATTAACAGGTTCAAGTGGGTTATTGGTTTGTTCCTTAGGCCTTCATACAACTTGCTTAAGTGACAGCAGTGACAGCAGTGAACTTCGCATGGAGGTGTGTCCCTGGATCATTGGGCAGCATGTATGGCATGCATGATGGCAGTGGCTGTGGCAGAACAACCCTCAGGCTAACAGGTGGCACAAAGTGGTATTAGCCTTGGCAGCAACAGACTCAGAGGGCCAGTCCCCAGGCCCCCAAGTGGTGTGTGTGTGGAGGGGGTTCCAGCAATGGTGGTGGCAGCATGCTGGGCAGGTCCATCTTCAGGTCCCCAGGAGGAGTGTATGGGTGCTGGTGGTGGTGGATAGGGCAGGGCAATACCCAGGCTTCTGGATGGCATGCTCAGCAATGGCAGTCGTTCTGAGCATACCGTTAGCTTTCTAAATGTGTGCATGCATGCCCAGGGCAACTGATAGAGGGATAGAGGTGAATCCCCAGGCTCCAGATAGAGTGCTGGAACTGCAGGGGTACAATGCCAGGCTGGGTGCATCTATCCTTAAGCCCCATGACGGTGTACACAGGTGCAGGCTGTGGTGGGCTAAGCAGGGAAACCCCCAGGCCTATGGATGGTGTGCTTGGGCACTAATTGTTGCAGGTATTCTGGTCCTGTTATTAGGGCTCCCGGCAGTGCATAGGCATACCCAAGGTGACTGACAAGGCCCCCTGGGTGGTGTGCTCAGGCACTGGGAGAAGTGGCTCCTGGTAGTTGGTCCTCAGGGCTACATAGGTAAAAGCTGTGAATGGGGTTGGAGGGTGAGCCAATTCTGAAGTTCCTGGGTAGTGTGCTTGGGTAGTTGTGGCTGCAGCGGCAGTTGGCAGGGAGAACCCATCATCAGGGCATGTGTAAGTGCACTGTGGCTGTGCTGCTGAGGGGAGCCTGGATGCTATCAGTAAGAGCAGCTTTAGGCGGAGGGCACTCAGATGCTAGGGAGCATATACTTTGGCTCCCTTTGTCCTGAGAGCAGCCTCCCCAGTGTGCTACATCATTCATTTTCCAAAGTATAGGATAGTGTGTGGGCTAGAGTGCTGGAGATCTGCCTGCACTATGGGTCCAACAAGTGTCATGCCACTACATCCCTCTGGATGGATGTAGGAGATGTTGCTAGGTCTCCAGGGATGTGGAAATGCTGAGACTGTTGGAACCCGGGGCCTAATACTGTCTGATGGGGGTTGGGATCTCAAAATGGTGCCATGCTACTACTGCTTGGGTTTCAGGAATTGTGTGAGATGTGAGACCCCAGTGTGAACTTCATCTCTGGAGCACTGCCTTTGCATAGACTCCAGGTAGCTCCTTTTACTAGTCTCAGAGTCTACAGGGATAGAGGAGCTCTCCTGTGATAAGGATTGCAGGAATCCATGGTATGAATATGGATTGCTGGGGACCTCTCATTTACTCTTTCCCAATACTAAGGAGCCTTTGCAGGCTCACAGCCGATCCCGGCTGGGCTGGCTATCTTGCTTCCTTCTTCCACGCCTCAGGTGTTTTCTGTCATTTCTTTGTTGCATTCTAGTGATCTCTGTTAGATACTCTATTTAAAGTGTGATTATCCACTCCCTGTTTTGATTCTTCCTTGTGGAGGAGGCAAGTGTCACATGCCTCTAGTAATTCATGATGAAGGCCCCCTTCAAAAAGTTTTTAAAATAAAAATCAGCAATTTCTCCACTCCAAAAAAGTCACCATCCATATATGATGCAAATAAAAATGACTTCAGGGTTTTGTGTAGTTGACATTAGGTAGGAAAAGTTATTCTATTTGACACGCATCCAAGGAATGCTCTCATTTTAATGGCTCAGTTATTGTGACATTCAATAACTAGAGTGGAAAACATAATCCCAGGATATTACTTGCATAAAAGAAGAGTTCAGTACATTGGCATTATCAGTCCTGCCCACAGGTGTCAGCCACTTACCACATGCATGTCTGCATGCACAGGTTTACTTTTGGCTCATGTTCATGTCTATCACTTCTTCCTCCTGTGATCTGCCTAAAATGTAATGTTCAACATGTCCTATATCTCTCAAGATGCTTGTTACTCTTTGAAATTTAGTTCACCTACAACTTCAATCTTACAAAATCTCTAGAGGGGTAAAGTTATAATTATGCAATTCGTATGGCTTTTTTTGGTGGTGGGGAAGCAATATCTTTCTCTTAATGGCTTTCTAAGTAAAAGTGGAACTCAAGTTTATTTTTCATATTGAAAACTTAGGCCAAGTGTGGTGGCTAATGCCTGTAATTCCAGCACTTTGGGAGGCCGAGGCAGGCAGATCATCTGAGGTCGGGAGTTCCAGACCAGCCTGACCAACATGGAGAAACCCCTTCTCTACTAAAAATACAAAATTAGCTGGGTGTGGTGGTGCATGCCTGTAAATCCAGCTACTCAGGAGGCTGAGGCAGGAGAATCGCTTGAACCCAGGAGATGGAGGTTGCAGTGAGCCGAGATCAGACCATTGCACTTTAGCCTGGATGACAGAGTGAGACTTTGTCTAAAAAAAAAAAAAAAAGTAAACTTAATAATTGACTGTGTCTCCCAATTTAACTGGAGCATGAAAGCTCATAACAAAAATGAAGTTCAATAATTATATCAATAAAAAAATCTGGCTTAAATATTTTATTTTATTCAGATTTCCCTACCTGTTCTTGGTTTTCCTATCTCTATTATGTCAGTAGCACATGCATTTATTTTCATCTATTTAAGACTTTGTGGTTTGAAATGGGTTAAAGTTTAAAATATGTGTTATTACTCTTCATTTTACAAGTGAAAAATGAGAGGCACAAACAGTTTGAATAATTTATCTAGACACATGTAGATTGTTGCTTATAGCCCAATTTGCATGTCAACTCAATCGAATATTAGTATTTGTGCATATCTGGGAAAGTCTGTCAAATTGAGTCAAAGTCTGTTTGTATCAAGAACTTAGAAGTCTCTTGGGAATCTATTTACGCTATGGGAAGAAAGAAAAGCAGACAAGTTTGATCTAGTAACAAAACATTAGTCATTAGAGTCAGGGGATAATCAGAATTTAGTAAGGTGTTTGTAACTCAAATGTGTCTTCTGACTCACTTTCTCATAGGGAATGGGTGATTCTTCCAAAGTCCTCAGGCACTGGGCCAAGATTACACTAAAGAACACAAGCGCAAACTATTAGAGGTGGTATATTTAAAAACTCAAACGCTGACAAGTTCAATATTTTTCGCTTTCTCCTGGTGTGAAAAAAGTAGCCACTTCTTTTACAGCCACTGTGATATGGTGCCTTCCATACTGTAGGTTGTCAAAAAATGTTTATCAAATAATACACGTATTGAATAACTTGCAGTTCCCCTCATTTGTTTAGCTTTGGTGAATACAGACCACATTATTGTAAGACAATTTCTTCTTGATTTAGTTCTTAAATGGCATATCCCTTAAGTACAGCACATTCTAGCACAATAAACGTATCTCTGAGGCACTACAGTACACACATTACACACTCATGAATTCTTGCTATTCATGTGCCTATCCTTGCTCTTGTTTCTCTTTCCACACAATCTGGCTAGATTCCAAGTAAAAATTATCATTCACTTATCACAATAATTAATTTTTGTTTACTATTGATACATCCATTCCTACATTCTTCACAAAAGACAAGGAGAAATGATGCATGTGTGTGTGTGTGTGTGTGTGCATGTGGTAGGCAGAAGTGACAGTAACTGTAGATAAAGGCCACAAGATTTATTTCACAAAAGTTTTTGCAACATATTGCAGTATAAGCACAAAGGCTTTTGGCTTCCCTGAGGAGATAAACAACACTCAAGCAGAGAAAGGAAAACTGCCAGCTACTATAAGGTTCACAAATTGACTTTATCAGACTAAGGTCTTCAAAAAACACAAATGCTTGTGGATATTGACAGCAGCAATGGTGTTACCCAGAGGGAGGCAATGACAGTGATGCCTAATAGTAAACACCTTAGTGAGAGGGGAGAGAATCCCCTAGCATGGCCTCAGATATGGAGGTGACCAGAGTTGAAGAAAGGTAAAAGAGAATGATAGACAAGTTCTGTTTACGTGTGACAGATGACCAGAGTAGATTTAGAATTTACTAAGATGGGGAGACTTCTGAAGGTATAAGCTTTCAATAGAAACAGGATAAATTACCAAGGATTGTCAATTCACAAATGGTTAAAAAGAGGCATATTTAGGATATTAACATACATTAACTACAAATTCTTTATTGTTACTATAAATCCAGTTAGTGGAAGTAAGGGAGAACATTTTCACTATCGTTATTTTTTTTAGTATTATTTAGTATTATTATAACCGTTTTTGCTTCCTAACATAGTACTTACTCTTCTTGTGATTAAAAATATTATTATTTATATGGAAATATAAAATGGTAGAACTGGAGGGGATCTTTGATATCATCTCATGGCATAATATCATATTGCAAGGAGATAATTTGAGCTAAGTACATTATCTAACTTACCCATCTGGTGGTCAAGCATGTATTACTAACTCAGAAAGTCATACTGTGGATCTTATGACACTATACTGTAACATTTGGAACACTGTGCCTTTTCAGAATTGCTATTTTTTGACATAAGCAATCAGATTCAGAATCTAAATTTTGCATGAAACAGAATCATTAAAATAAAAAGTTGTCAAAAACAGCATACAAAAAAGGATAAGAAAATCTAAATTTACATCTTCATATGGATAATTTATAAAATAAATGTTTGAAGTTTCAAAATCAGTTCCATGACTCATGAATTCCATTACTCATTTTGAAAATATCAAATAATCGTGACAGCATGGAGAGAAAAAGTTGAATTCGTACAGATATTTATTTAAAGAGTTGTTGCCGTGTTATGCATTTTCTTGAAAGAGGTGGGTGTCAACACCTCCTTCGCCTAAAGTCTAATGAAGGGGCCTTTATGGGACCACTCAGAGACCTTGAAATGGATTTGTTGCAGTTGAGAGGAAAAGAAGTCTGAGGCCAGACTCAATCACAAGGAAAAAAAACAGCTAAAGTATGTCCTGAGGCAGTAAGATAGAGGTGATTATGTTAGGATCAGGCTAAACTTCCATGATTTTCTTGGATCAAGTAACATATGAATGTTTCCCAGGCAACATAACTGTCCTATATAGAAAATCAAGTAAATCTAGAACCACTTAAATTTTTCTTTCAATAGGATCACCAAAGAGATTGAAGGAAATCCAGTAGTATAGATTCATTGTGGAACATTGATGTGGAATTGAACATCAATGAACCGGGGCCTGAAGTTACTCCTGTGAGTCAGAGTAATAGAAAACATTGTCAAGAGGTAAAAGTTCTGCCTATGGGATTCACCTAAGAACTCTCCAAAAGAAATGAGGACACAATCAGTAAATTCAAAGTTAACGACTTTGTAACTTCAGATTATATGGAACCACTCTCTCCAGTAAGAACCACATTAACTCTACTCGCCACTCACCTCTATTTGATTAGAACAGGAACAGAGGATAGACAGTGAAGAAGGAAGTGAACAAGAAGAAAGAGAGCAATGTTAGAGAATCAAGCAACCCTGTGATACAATGGTAAAATATATTTCACAAAAACAGACACTTCACAAAGAAGGATGTACATTTTTTTAATGGATTGTGCTTTTAGTGTTATTTCCAAGAAATCTTGGGCTAACCCAAGGTAACAAAGATTTCCTCCTTGGTTTTCTTCTAGAAGTTTTATAATTTTAAAATAAATCTTTAGGACTATAAATAATTTTGAGTAAACTTTATTAAATATTACAAAGTATGAATCGGAGTTTTTATTTATTTTTTCATATGGATATCCAATTGTTCCAGCATAATTTTTTTAAATGTCTGTTTTCTGAATTAAATTGCATTTGTAATGGTGAAAAATCAGTTCATTACACATATTTGGCACTATTTACTAATTCTTTATTTGTTTCATTGCTCTATTTGTCAGTCTTCATACCAATACTGCACTGTTTGGCTTAATGTCACTTTAATGTCTTGAAGTCAAGTAGTGTAATTTCTATAACTGCTTCCTTTATTTCCAAAGTTGTTTGGATTATTGTATAATTTTTTGCATTTTTATATGAGTTCTATAATTATCTAGGACATTTTCCTTACAAATCTTTCTGGAACTGTTACTGAGATTGAGTCAGTTGTGTATTGAATCTGTGGATCAATGTTGGGGGAACTGACATCTGAAAAATATTAGGTTTTCTGATCTAAGAAAATTGTTTACTTCTGTTTTTTAATACTTATTTCTCTTGGCAATTTTGTGTAGTTTTAAGTGTTTAGGTCCTTCACATACCATTAATCAGATTTTTTCATAAATTCTAGATAGTTTTTAAGATAGATATTTTGATGCATTTAAAAATTTTCAATTTATGCTTATTGCTGGTATATATAAACACAAATGAGTTTGTTAATATTGATATTATATATCCCACAGCATTGCTAAACTCACTTTTTAGTTCAAATAGCTTATATGTAAGTTTGATTTGGTTTTCTATGTAGACGATTATGTCATCTGCAAGTAAAGGCCATCTAATTCCTTTACTTTTAGGTTGGATTGCTTTTCTTCCTTTTCTTGCCTATTGCACTGGCTAGAATATCCAATGGAAAAAGCTTACACAGAAGAAGTAAACAATGGCATTCTTGCTTTGTTTTTGATCTTAGGGAGAATGCATTCAATCTTTCACCATTAAATATGACGTTAGCTGTAACCTATTTGCAATTGTCCTTGTTATGCTAATGGGAGTTCCCTTCCGTTTCTGGTTTTCTCATAGTTTTTAGAAGAAGTGTATATACATAGTATCAAATGATTTTTCTGTGTCTACTGAGATCATCATATAACGTTCTTGCTTTTAGTCTGTTCATAAGGTAAATTACATCGATCAATTTTTAAAATATATTATATTATATATATTAAACCAAACGCGTTTCTACGATTAAACTCTGCTTGGTTATAATATATCATCCTTTTTAATATATTGTCAGATTTGATTTGTTAAGAATTTGTTAACCTTTTGATCCATGTTCATTAGAGATTATCATTATAGGCAATAAAAGTATAGTTTTTCAGGTTTGTATTTGCTTTTGTTTTTCGAGTAATGTTGGCCTTATAAAATGTCATTAAATATGATTGATCCTCTTTAATTTGGGGAGAAATTTTACCTACTGTTCTTCCTTAAATGTCTGTTAGACTTTCCAGTGAAGCCATTATGACCTAGAGTTTTCTTTGTGGAATTAAAAATAAATTTCAATTGCTTTAATATATATAGAGATAGTTTTCTATGTCTTATTAAATAACTTTAATGGTTTGTGTCTTTCAAGGATTTAGTCTTTTTTAAATTGTTAAGCTCATTGGCATAAAGTTGTTAATATTTTATATTATCATTTTAGTATTTGAAAAATTTGTAAAGGTGTCATTATTCTCATTCCTGATATTGGAATTTGTATATTCTCTCTCTTTTCTCTTGCATCTGAATAGTTTCACTGGCTTATACATTTCACTGATCTTCACAAGGAACTAACTTTTGGTTCCGTTTTTTTTTCTCTACTTTTTGGTCTACTTTTCATTGATTTTTCGCTCTGATGTTTATTTTTTCTTTGTCTACTTTGAGTTTTATTTGCTTTTTACGCAGATTTTAAGGTGGAAAACAAAATTATTGACTTGAGTTATTTCTTCTGTTGTATTAAATAGGCATGTAACGTTACATATTTTCCTATAGGTGATATTTTAGTTGCATCTTACAAATTTTAAAATATGTTTTAATGACATTTTTATTTAGTAAAATATATTTTCTAAAGTGTCTTTTTTCTTTTTTGATCCATGAGTTGTTTAGAAATGTGTTATTTAGTTTCAAATAATTGGGGACTTTTCAGGTATCTTTCTGTTGTTCCACGGTGATCAAAGGACATATTTTGCATGATGTAAATCACTTTCAATTATTTTTACTTGTTTCTGGCCCACAGCTTGGTGTATCTTGGCAAATATTACATGTACACTTGTAAATAATATTTATTCTGCTGTTGTTGAGTGGAGTATTCCATATATGTCGATTAGGTCAATTTTGTTAACAATGTGTTCAAGTCTTCTATATAGTTTTTCGTTAACATTTCTATCAAATATTAAGAAAAATGTGATGAAATATTTAAGTATAGCTATGGATTTGTCTATTTCTCCTTGAAGTTTTATAGATTATTGCTTCATATATTTTGAAGCTGTTATTAGGTACATAAAGTTTTAGATAGTTATTTTCTCTTAATGAACGAGCTCTTTCATTACAATTTATTAGCTCTTATCATCCCTTTTAATATTGTTTTCTCTGACATCGACTTTGTTTGATATTAAAATTAACCACTCCAAATTTTAAAAATTAAGGTTATCATTACATATTATGTTCCACCTCTTTAATTTTTAACATATTTATATTTTTTAAAATATTGTGGATCTTGATTTTTAAAATCTAATCTGATAATCAGTCTTCTAATTTACATTCAATGCTAGTTTATATATGGTTTGCTTTGGCTATCATTTTGCTATTTATTTTCAATTTATTCTACTTGTTCTTTTCGTCATTTTTGCTCTTTTTATACCTCCTTTCACATTAAGTATTTTTTAAAATTCCACTTTAGATTTTTGTTGGCTTATTAGATATATCTCTGAGTTGTACTTTTAGTGATAGCTTAAAGGTTTATAGTGTACATCTGAAACTTATCATAGTCTACCTTCAAGTAATAGTATATGTTTTCATATACGGTATAAAAGCACACTGTATTATACTTGTATTTCTCCCCTTTCAGTCCTTGGGATATTGGTGCCATACTGTTTTACACACACACACACACACACACACACACACACACAAAACACACACACACACACATTTATGAGTTGTTTTTGCATTTAATAGTCAAGTAACTTTTGAAAAGATTTACATAATCATATACAGTATTTTATCTATTCACATAGTTACCAATTCTGATGGTCTTTCAGATCTTGCTTTTAAAGATTTTGCAGGAAGGACCAGAGCATCACTTAGTCTGGGTTTAATTCTTCTCATTATTAAGGCAAAAACATTTTGAAAAGTTTCTTCACTACCCTGAAAATTATGAGGTATACTACTGTGACTATTGGGAACAGGTTCTATTCTCTGCTCTATATGAGGGAGCTTCCAGTATTTTTACCTCTTACTTATATTATTCTGTCTCTGTTCTTGTGTAGTTCATACCTCACATTGTTTCACATCATCACTGAGAAAAAAATTCAAACACATTGAAACAAAACTCTGCAATAGACATCTGAGAATTTGGACACTTAGTATCGGTATTTTGAAGTGTTTCATTAATATCTTAAGACAAGTGTATCAAAACCATTGGCATATTTTAATTTCAAATCACCAAATTTGTTTTTACTAACATGACAAACTAAGGATTCACTGTCAATGCTACATCTGCTTAATTTGACTTGAGTTTACAGGGAAGGACATCTAAAAGTCATGACTTTGAGAAAGTCGTAATTTAGTCATTTTTATGTATTGTGGACCCACAGATAGCTAGCTGAGCTCTAGAAATTATGAGGGGAAATCAAGGAGATATAAAATACTTTCCAATATTCTAAAATAATACACATATACTTCAGAACCAACAAAATAAATTTAAAGAAAATACAGATAAACATTTATGGAAAAACATATAAATACATATTAACATACTTTAAAATGTCTATGTGGTTTCAATTTTATTAAAAATTAAAATATATAAAAATAGTACATTTGATATTTTAAATATATGGTTATTAATTATGGACCCTCATAGGATATAACTGGATTCAATAATGAATAAAAACATCTCTATAAAGTGGTAGCTTTGCTAAATTAGAACAGTTAATCTCTAGCCTATTAGTCTCCTACATGCTGAGGCAGCCATGGAAATAAAAATGTGTAATAGAATTACACTTGTTATTAAATATGGGAATTTCTCTTAAGACCTCTATTGACAGGAAATGTTTCTTACTACATTCGATTTTAAGTTCAGAGAGGTCCAGATACATGTTTGTATGGCCTTACTTAGGGCTGCCATTTCAACAGAGCCAGTATTCCTTTATTTTTCTCTACCCTCCCAGATAAGATGAGATAACTAAGAGAGAAAAAGAGGTTACTTGTAGAGACAGTGGAGTATTCATAAAAAGAGGGAAGAGATACCTCACAGAAATTGCTCATAATGCTAGAAATGAAATAGCATATGGTGTAAGTTGGTATTACCACTCTTTGCCTGAGTTTTTGATACCAGGAAGCATGGAGATTTGAATTTAAATGTGCCTATCGGATCCAGATCTAGAGGATCTCCAGTGTTAGTCTCAAAGAAGTATGACAATCAAGAAATGTTGCTTGAGGACTTTGGCTATAAGCCACCTTGAAGTTAGCTGAGAAAAATGTGGTCAAATCTTTTAAAGGACAATAGTATCTAGAGGAGCTGTTTGAGAGAAAACCCTCCAAGCTGTGGATCCTATTGCAGTCACCATCTTTTCACATCATTCCCAACAAAGGCAGTGTGGTGGACATGGTGTTGGGTCATCCAGTTTTCTGTCTTCAAGGAAGGACTTATTGCCATAGCTTCTGGCCATTGCTATTTGCACACAGCCTTGAACTGTCAGCTTCTAGAGGGATTGCCTCAGGTACAGAGAACCACCTCACCAAAGGTCATGGCTAGCATCCAATGACTGAGAGAGCAGAGGACGAAATAATTCAGAACAATTCTCAAAGCCCATTTTAGGTCCAGAGCTCTTGAGCGAGTATGCAATAGCTGTTCCCAGGCCCACACTGTATCTCAAATTCCTGTTTTGCCCAGGTAGGCTTCCTTCTCCAAGAGTTTTTTCAGATAAATGTATTAGAAGCTATACTCATCTGATTCTACTTCCCAGAAACCCAACCCCATTGACAAGCAGTTACGGCTAATCAGATAAAGAACAGGAACCTCTCCCTGGGCAGTTTAGTAAAAAAAAAAAAAAAATACCCCTTTTCTAAGATATACACTAACAATATTTGCTGGGAAAAAAGACAGAGGCCATGTGGCAGAACATTCTTGTGATATGAAGAAAGAGGTTTAACTACAAAATGAGAGAAATTTTCAAATGACTTGACTGAGTCTTCTAGGCAGTGATTAGATTTTTCAGATATGAAATAATGATTGAAAAGTCATGGTTTCAGACTTAAATATCATCAAAAAGCCTGATTCCATGTAGAAATGAGGAAATCTAGATAGTGGGTAGATTTTAAAACAAAAATTTTGAAAACACTTCTTATTTATCAACAAATGAATTGAAATCCTTTCTCAGCCAGTAATATGTGTGTGCGTGTGTGTGTGTGTGTGTGTGTTTGTGTGTGTGTGGTTGGTGCAAGTCCAATGAATAGAAAAACATGTCATGAAATCAATCTTTTGTCCTCCTTTATAGAAACATCGTATTTCAAATAATGACAATGTATATCTGTCTTCAGAGCCTTAAGCTAAATTGGAATTCCAGTACCAGGGCAGCTAGCAACTTTGCCCTGATGGGAAACACATGCCTCAAGGCATGTGTGCTTACAGCTTGCCTTTCACAGGGTAGTCTTTTTATCTGGTGGATGGTCTAATACCTAGTTTTCTGACATTTGACCATGTGTTTTTCACACAGGAAATTTATTAACATTGGCAGACACCTTTGTGGTTCTTATCTGACCTATGTCCAGTTTATACCTGTCTGACCATTCCTCTGGTTTGAGGAGACTGCCCTTGTGTTCTCCTTGGCATCCGGGAGAAAATTCAACCTATGGTAGCCCCTGGTTCTCCAGGTGAGAGGTTCAAATTCAGTACACCACCATAATTTGAAATCAGTCCAAAGATATGTTACCTACAGATTCTGAGCAGGATGGGAACAATGAGTTAGGTGGGCAGCTCTCTGTCCTTTGGTCAGGGGTAGGCAGGAATGAAGAATCTAGCTGAGAGAGAGAGCCCATATACAGCTAGCAGTATATATTGGGGAATAGGAAGTGGATCACTTTAACTTCAGGGCCACATATCAGAATGATCTATTTAAAGAAAGCATCAGAAAAGTGGGAAGCCCAGTATGCTGGGCAGAAAAGGTGCCCCTAAGTTCTTATCTCTGGCCACTGGCTTTCGCTATTTGGGTGTGGTGTTCTATTTCTAATGTCTAGGCAACAACCTTTTTTATGTTGTTCCCATTACAGGCCTATATCTGGATGGACCACATTGAGGAACTGGGAGGAGACATAGAGCTAGAAACTGTGTCATGGGGGACCAAGTCCCGCTTCTAGTATAAAAAAGTTAAACTTATATTCTAAATAAATGCCAAGGCAACATAAAATTCTAAGAATTTGCTATAACACTTCACAGTCAAAATATGTCTACTTGTTTATATCAATGAGCTTCATACTCACAGCATTATTTATTCACTTTATTGACCATCACAATATGTCAGTTGATTCCAATATGACTTTTAAATTTCACTATAGTAAAATTTATTTAAGTAGACAGGTTTCTTTGGCCAGGAACATCTTAGAATGAGCAGTTATGAATTTCCAATGCTACTGAATACAAATTTAAATGAAATTTTTAACTTCAAAATTTAAAAGACTAAATAACAGCGATAAGCTACATGCTACACTTTTATTATGAGAAAAGCTTGGATTCCTTTTGGGAAGAGTTTCCCAGAGCCTTTACATCTTTTTCTAAGCTGTTAAGTGTGTTACTGTTTTTGTCCAAACCTAAATGCAAAAGAAAAAATAAGGCTTGAAGTCACAGGTAATGAAGAAGCATAAAGTCAATTAATAAATGAAAAGGTTATGATTGACAGGGCCAGGGCCATATCACAGCAGTATTCAAATATTTAAGTCATTTCATCCTTTTAAGCCAAAAATTAAAAAAAAATTCTGAGACTGAGAAAAATAATACTGAGGCTGAAAAAATAAGTGCTAAATAAAAACATGTTGAATAAATGAAAGTAAATTCCTAAATAACTGATCAATATGAGCTACAAAACGCCAAAACTATTAGACTTGCTCTTTCTCTCTCTCTATATATATATGTGTGTGTGTGTGTGTGTGTATCATATAGTGTGTATATATGCACATATATGTGTAGATACTTATTACATAAACTAAAACTCTACAATTTATTCATAAATATCCCAGGTGTGCTTGATTGTAAGCTTGTGGGATGAACAAAAAACCATAAGTGGAAGCAAGTTCTTTGGCCTAATTATTTGTCTCTTTTAAGATCCACTAAATACATACACAGCTTAGAATACCTTTAGAGGCCAAATAAATGCAGAAGCTATATAATTAATGTTGAGGAGAAACAGCTTAGAATAAGGCTGACACTAGCATGAGGCAAAGTTGGATGAAGACATATTTCACATCCAGAGGGTTCAAAACAGAGAATATATCTACTTCTGGGGCATGGATAAGAATGCAAATAAAACCACTGAACCAAAATCCTGGCAGTTAGAGAAATACTCTGGAAGATACAGATGTCAGTTTGGACAGTAATGGTGATTAGTGTGATTTGGTAATTGAAAAGAGGCAGCAAAGGCGGAATCTGAAATCTTCTACATTCAGGTCCAGTGATACATTGTTATTTGACTCAATTAACTTAAATTACTAAGATATAACTGAATAAGTTATGTCATTAATTATGACTCATCCAAGCACATGCTGTTTAGCAAGGAAATTTTGAGTTTTGTAGGCTATAAATTAAGAGTTAATGGGAGTCTGTAAACAACATTTGATTTCAGGAACACAGCGTTCTGTTTTCTTAAAGAAGACTAATGACTTAAAATGGCATCTTGCCTCACTGGTTAACCAACAGAAAGAGAAGACAGGGACTGTGAATTCTAATTTTAAATAATGATTTATCTCACACTAGGTGAGGCAATTAGCTTTGGTTTCCTTGGATATAAAATGGAACAAATAATACCCAATTACCTTGTTGGAACATCATAATGAGAAACCCAGGATGCATACTTACAAATAACCTTAAAAATATAAAGTTCTAAATTACATAAATAATGATGTTTCCAAATCCATCAGTCACATGCAAAGTGTGCTGCCAGTTTTATGCTACATTCTTGAGCTCATAACATGAAAAGGTCCATGAATATGTGAAAATTGTTTTCATTTTTCTAGACAAAATGACTATAAGACAAAATTAAATGTATTCAAAGAATTTTAAAGTTACAAAATTTAAGACAGTGTAGCATTAGCCCAAGGATGAAAACACTGACCAATGGAACAGAAAAAAATTGCAGAAAGAGACCCACATGTTCACAGTCATTGAACTGTCAAAACAATTACTGCAGTGCAGTGAGAAAAAGATCATCTTTTTAACACATGGTGCCAAATGATTAGATATAATATTGAAAAACATATGACTAGACTATAACTACAACTATGTACTAAAATCAGTTATAATTGGATTATGAACCTATATGTGAAATGTAAAGCAGTTAAGTTTCTTATAGAAAACATTTCAGGACTTGGGGAATAGTCAGAGATTTCTTACATAGGATAAAGTAACTATTAACCTTAAAAGAGATTGAAAAATTGGACTACATTAAAATTAAAAACATTCATTTGTCAATAGATTCTATTCAGAAAGTGAAATATAAGCCAGAGGATTGATGAAAAGGTGTGTAATCATAATCTGACAAAGGATTTGCGTGCAGAAAATATTTTTAAACTCCTAAAATCAATTAAAAACAAAGAAAATAAAATAGAAAAATGGACAAAGTAATTAAGCACATGCACTTTTTAAAAAAGGGTTATCTAAGCCAGGCATGGTGGCTCACACCTGTAATCCCAGCACTTTGGGAGGCCAAGGTAAGCGGATCATCTGAGGTCAGGAGTTCGAGATCAGCCTGGCCAACATGGTGAAACCCTGTCTCTACAAAAAAATACAAAAAAATTACCCAGGTGTGGTGGTGCACACCTGTAATCCCAGCTACTCATGAGGCTAAGATGGGAGGATCCCTTGAACTCGGGAGGCAGCGGTTGCAGTAATCCAAGATTATGTCACTGCACTTCAGCCTGGACAATAGATTAAGCTTGTCTAAAAAAAAAAAAAAAAGGTTATCTAAAGGACTAAATATGTAAAGAGGTAATCAACCTCAGTAGTCAGCAGTTAAATATAAATGAAAACCTTAAAGGAATAATTTCCAACAGGTTGGCTGAAATTTCAAAGATGTCTGTTATGGGCTGAATTGTGATCTCCTAAAAATTCATATGTGAATACCTAACCCCCAATATCTCAGAATGTGATTGCATTTCTAGAAAAGATCTTAAAGGCATAATTAAGTTTAAATAAAGTCACTGGAGTAGATACTAATCCACTATGATTGCTGTGCTTACGGAAGAGGAGATTAGGACACAGACAATACCGAGGAAAGACCATGTAAAGACAGGGAGAGAAGATGGCCGTCTACAAGCCACCAAGAGAAGCTTCAGAAGTGACAATCCTGCCAACACCTTGACCTTGCACTTCTAGCATCCAAAACTGTAAAATAGCTTCTGTTATTTAAGCCACCAAGTCTGAGGTACTTTGTTGTGGCAGCCGTAATAAACTAATACGAGGATAATACCAAGCATTGTTTGAAAAAGTATATGTTCATACACACCTGATGGGTGTATAAGTTAGTATGACCACTCTGGAAAACTTCTGACAGTACCGACTAAAGCTGAAAAGATATTCTATGATCTGTTTATGAGTGAAAATATATGCACCAAAGGACATGTACAATATCCATAGCCCAAAAGAGTGCCAACCTAAATGTCCATCAACAATAGAAAAGATAAACGAATGGTGGCTTTTTTTTTTTTTTTGCTATGTATCTTTTTGGAGCAAAGAGAAACAACAGATGATTATTATATGCAAAAGCATGAATAAATTTTTACAAACATAATGCTTAGCAGAATGTCAGACATGAAAGAGCACATGCTGTATGGTTTCATTTTCTATAAAATTCTAAAATAGGCATAATTAATCTACAATGAAAGAAATAAAGATACTGGTTACCTTTGGGGAGGAAGGAAGAAGGTAGTGACTGGGAGAGGAATGGGGCCTCCCCAGTCACTTGGGCTTGCTCTGCATTGCCTTAATATTCTCTCTTGATCTGGGTGATGATGACGAAGCTATGCACTATGCCAAAATGAATTAAGCTGCAAATTTATGATTCCTGAACTTTTCCCTATGTATACTACTCTTCATTATAAACTTCACTTACAATTTAGAATAAAGCATTTCTGAAAACGTTTTAAATTATTATAAAAGTTTTGTGTAGCTTAAAGCAATATAGGGCAAATATGTCACTTATCTCTCAAAACACTCCAAACATTCAGCTTCTCATTCAGAATACAAGCTGAAGTTTTTCCTTCTTTTTACCATCTACTCAACTCTGCTCCCTCTGTAACTTAACCTCATTCTATATTCACCTTTTCTCACACTGGCCTCCTCTGCTGGGAGTGGCTCTTCCTCCCAAACTCCAAGTGTGCTGCTGTGTCAGGCCCCAATGTAGCCACAGTCCTCTGTGGAAGTGTCCCTATTCTCGTTTTCCTGCTTTATTCTAAGTCATTTTAACTATATTTATTACATACAAAATGTCCCTTCCAAACTAAAATATAACCCTTTGAGGGTATGGCTTTCGTCTGCTTTTTTTTTTTTTTTCTTTTATAGCCTCTTCTGGAATACTGCCTGGATATGCAGTAGTCATACAGTACATATTTGCTTAAGAAATGAATGAATGCTTTTCTCTTCATTTTAATTATTAGGCCAGAATATTACCTATTATTTATGACTTTTAGTAAATAACTAATTGTAAGATGAGAATAACTTATGGATTACCTTAAATTATGAATAAAGATGAGAGGAGGAGTCCAAGGTAGCACAGCACTTACTAACATTAGGCAAATAGTTTGACTTAATACTTACCAGTTGAACAGATCACAGTGATGTTCATGACACAGTTTGATGGAAAGGCATTACACCAGAAAGGGAAAGAAAATGTATTGTTTAATTCTCCTCAAAGTAGTTGTCTCCTATTATGTAAGTAAAAATTATATAATAATAAGCTGTTATCAAAATTAGTCTAGGCAAAGATTTCTTGAGCAAGACCTCAAAAGCCCAAGCAACCAGAGCAGAAATGGACAAATGGAATCACATCAAGCTAAAAAGCTTCTGCACAACAAAAGAAACAAAAAATGAAGAGGTAACGTACAGAATGGGAGAAAATATTTGCAAGCTATTACCTGACAAGAAATTAGTAACTAGAATATCTAAGGAACTCAACTCAAGAGCAAAAATAAATCAATAATCTGATTTTAAAATGGGCAAAAGATCTGACTAGACATTTCTCAAAAGATGACATGCACATGGCCAAGAGGTATATGAAGAAAAATGCTTAACATCACTGATCATCATGAAGGTGCAAATCAAAACCACAAGAAATATCACCTCACCCCAGTAAAAATGGCCTTTATCAAAAAGACAAAAATAATGGATGCTAGTGAGGATGTGGAGAAAGGGGAAACCCTGTACTATGTTGGTGGGATGTAAATAAGTATAGCCATTATGGAAAACATTATGGAGGCTTCTCAACAAATCAAAAGTGAAAACTACCATGTGATCTACCAATCCCACTGTTGGGTATATTTCCAAAAAAAAAAAAAAAGAAATCAGTATATGAAAAAGATTTCTGCACTGCCATGTTTATTGCAGCACTATTCATAATAGCCAAGATATTCCATTAACCTAAGTGTACATCAATAAATAAATGAATAAATAAAACATGGGAGATATATATGAATACTATTCAGCCATAAAGTAGAATTGAATTTGCAACAACATGGATGGAAGTGGAGGATATTATGTTAAATGAAATTGAAATAAGCCAGGCACAGAAAGACAATTATCTCATGTTTTTACCAGGTTTGGGAGCTAAAAACATTGCTCTCATGGAGGTAGAGAGTAGAATGATGGTTACCAGAGGCTGGGAAGGGTAGTGGGGATTGGTTTTGAAAAATGTTGGTTAATGGGTACAAAAATACAGTTAGTAGGAATAAGATCTAATATTCAGTAGCAAGATGATGTGACTGTAGTTAAAAATAATTTATTCTGTATTTCAAAATTACTAGGTAAGTTGATTTGGAATGTTCCCGACACAAAGAAATGGTAAATATTTGAGGTGATGGCTATCTCGGTTACCCTAATGTAATCATTACACATTGTTTCCTTGTATCAAAATATCACGTGGGTCCCATAAATATGTACAAATGTTATATAATCCTAAAAATTAAAAAATAAAGACCACAAAAATGTAAAATCATCTAAGCAAGGCAATTGGAGGTCAATTACTTGAATTACAATTTAATATAATCAATGGGATAATTGATGGAATACAGTGGTGTTTACTTTTGGCCTTGCTTCTTTCATGTACTGCCATGTGTCACTTAACAATAGAAATATGTTCTGAGAAGTACATCATTAGGTGATTTTGTCACTGTGTGAACATCATAGCATGTACTCTACACAGACCTAGATTGTATGGCCTATAACACACTTAGGCTCTATGGTATAGCCTATTGCTCCTAGGCTGCAAACTCATAAGGCATGTTACTGTGCTGAACACTGTAGGCAAATGTAACACAGTGGTATTTGTGTATCTCAACATATTTAAACATAGAAAAGGTACAGTAAAAATACAATATTATAATCTTATGGGTTGATCCTCATAAATACAGTCTGTCTTTGATGGAAACATCATTACGCAGCTCATGACTGTAAAGTATTTGGTTTCCCCACATTATGACCTGCGTAATTATTCAGTATGATTTAGATACGAATTCTCTCAATCAAGACAAGTGTGAATTGAATTGATAGAAAATTACTTTCTTCAATCCAAAATAAGTTTTCTTGATCATTCTGCAAATATATACTTCATTTGTTTCTTTGATATTATAAATTATGTTTTATTAACACAGACACAAATTCTATATACATCTGTAATTAGAATTTCACTTTTCTGGGAAGTTCTTTTAAAATGATCTAGCTAAACAGTTATTTCATGAGTTACTGTCTACAGGTAATTCTCATTCACAGGTGGCCGATTTGTTTCGTCATTAAGAACATTCTACCATAAGCTCTCAGACTGTCCTATTCCCCTTCAGCAGAATTGGTCCGCAATCTGATAGGAAGCATTTCCATGAAGCTATGGATAGACAGGACAGGTCACTTTCCACTGATTTATTATTTCATGAAGATTTAAAATCATTATCATGGAAGAGCACTCACGAGGTTATCTTGTTAAATCAAGATCAAGATTTAACTCAGTAAGACCAACTTCTCTTATTTCTTCAACTCTATCTTAATTTTTGCCTCTTTTTACTTTTAAGATTTTTGTGGTTGGTCTTTCAGGGTGTAATTTGGAAATACTACAGAAATGTTGACTATTTCATGCTTCTATGTCAGTATATTGTGCATCACAACATATTGAGAGATCAGAAGACAAAGTTTATGTGAGACTGAGCAGCTAGTAAAATCAATTTAGTACATGGCTCCACCCCAGACTGTATCTCCATGTGGGCATGATCACCTCTGTCTTGTTCACTATGATGTCTCAGAGACTATGTCCCATCAACAGTGCTCAAGAAATGTTTGCAAATGGAGTACATTTTCTGGTTTTTATGTGGCACTCACATAGCACATCATACTTCAAATATCTCTAGCCATTTACCTCTATTAGTTATGAAAATTTCCAGCTAAAACAATTCTGATTAAAATGTGACCTTTGAATGCTCTTCTGGGAGAAATGTGTAGCTTTAAATTATGAGACACTACAATATTATTTCCCATTAAATTTACATCTTTTATCCTAAAATATTACAGTTCCCAATAAAATAAGAAAAAAAATCATATTTTTGTGTTTCATTTCCACCCTTTTATACAAGAGATAAAAATAATTCCCAAAGAATTAATAATGACATTGGAGAAAATTATAGGGAAAAAGTGAGTCAGAGCATAACTGCATGCAAATTATTTGGACAGACATTAACATGTAAAAAATGGTCTGCAAACATAAAAGCTGTAACTGAGAAAGGAGTAGCATTTTTCCTCATTAACCTATAATAAAAAGATGCTTGCAAGGACAAAACTTTAAGTGATTTGTTAAATAGAACTCTTCCTATGTTCTTTTGAAAAAATTGATGTAGGCTGATACCCAGGTTAAAAAAATAGATAAAGAATTTCAATATCTTTTAAATTATCTGAGGTAGATATATAAACAATATGAAATAATTTCTCATTCCTTTGAGTAAAGTATTTCAACACAAGTGAAATAAAGAATGCAAGAAAGGGCTTCGCAGGATTTATACACTCCGTTTGCCCTTTTTAGTTAATTAAGTGACCTCAATAAAATGGAGGGCATCTATTTTTAAATCTCAGTATCTCAGGACAGTAGATTATACCTGAAAATCAAAACCCAAATGGTCATCTCTGTTATCAGGGGAAGGGTAATTTCATGGGTGGATTAATTTAGCTTTTTGTTTCATCTATTTCTTTCATTAACTTTCTGTCTTTCCACTATTTTTAACATGCCTTTCAGAAAAGAGCTGGGAAAAGGGAACTCTTATTTCTTAATTTTTCAGTTCTAATGAGAAAAAGAGAGTGAGAGAGAGAGACAGAGAGAGAGAGAGGACATATTAAACTGTTGGCTAAAATTAAGCTTGTGGAATGTTTCTTTCATTTTTCCTCTCTGTTGACTATTAGCTTATAAAAGCAATTATTTTAGAATGAAAGACCTCTATTACAATCATATGTGTAAAGAAAAAATTATAAAAGAGAAAAACATAGGAAAAGGAGTTCAACGTTTTTTGTTGCTTTGTTATAAAATGAATAAGCAGGTATTCCGTAAAGCACATCTAACAGGTGGGTACAAAGACCTGGCTTTCCAGGAGGCCTATGCTGAGTCTCAGGGGCGGCCAAGAGCAGCTCTCAGTGTGAAAAGTTCTAGGTAGTGCCAAGGAGAATACCCATTAACAGGTCTACAGGGATGTGAAGCTTGCATGAATAATGCTTGCTCAAATCCAAGGATACTATAGAGGAAGGTGAATCTGGTGTTCTAAATAGCGACAAAAAGCATGGGAAGTTTTGACTTATGACAAACTGGTTCAAAGCTGGGTTCAATAAATCAGTCGTGAACTTGAATTTCTTATGTGCTTGTATTTTATGGGCTTTATGTTTACTTTTCAAAGAGCTGAGCCAAATAGGATGGGTGCTCTATTATTACTATGTGGAAGGCTTTGTCATATTCAACTATGTGTTTTCCCCAGTGCCGGCAGTGTTCGGTAAATAGATACTCATTCAATATTAGTTTAGTTTAATTTAATTTAACTTAATTATAGATAGGATCTCCAGTAGTCACAGATCAAACCTGGGAATGAATTATTTTTTTTTAATTTAGAAAAGGTTGACACTTTACTTTGTAGAAAGATTGGTTTATTTAAATAGTAAAGGCTTTTAATAACTCAGAAAAATATAGAATAATAGTAAACCTTTCCAAATACAGTTTCAAAGATTTCTTACATTTTTCTACTTATTTAGTTTTTAAATAATGTTGTTATTGGGCTAATTTTTATCGATATTGGTATATTCATATATTAAGAAGGCAACTTTAGTTCTATAATAAGATTTTATTGGGCTTATAAAGACAATGATTCTAATAGCATTATTTGTTTAAACAGAAACATAATGGTATTCCATATTAATCTGGAGTATCTAAGAAAAAATAAATATGAGATGCTAACTTCAATTAATCACCTGCTATTTTAGAAAAAGGTAATTTTATTGTACTATATCATAAAAGTGAATCTTGACAGTATGTAAATATTGTAGCATGATTTTTCTGCTGGAAAACCTAAATTATATTATTCATTCATAAGTCAGTTTTGATGATTTAAAAAGATTTTACATTTTATAGGGTGATAGCAAAATAGTTATTACCATATACGAAACATAAAACACCACTTGCCTTCCAACATACATCAAAATATTGTTGGTATGGCTTCATTTCTTCATATTTCTTTTTTTTACCATGACCTCACCCACCTCATAAAATATTTATCATGTAGCTATCATGTAATTAGACTATTTTATTAAAACACAGCAATATCAAGAACCTAATATAAAAATAAGCATAATACCAAAATCAAAAGGCCCTAACAATTTTTTTCCAAAGGCTGTCTCTCACTTATGATAATTATTTGCGAAAGGCTTAAGTACTCTACATATATTGACTATTCTTGAGAAACCTATTACATTTTATGATCCAGAGAAGTGAACACTGATTGAGAGAATGTTGCATTTAGACACATTTTGTCCTTGGGTCACACTTTTACCAGCCTCCATTTCCAGGAATGTTAACTACTTAATGCATGTCATAGTTTTGTTCCTAATAAGTAAAAAGCTCTCAATTGAATCCAAAGTTGGTTGATGTCAGAGGGGTGTAGTGATATACGAACATGTAATCCTTTTTGACATAAAAACTTAATCTTTATTTGTCTACTTTATTAGATGAAGTCAATTGACACATTATGAGGGTCTGAGAAAGGGCTCATACTCAACCCCCACCCCTAACCCTGTATGGAATTTCCCCATTCTGGCTAGGAGGAAGAAAACAAACAGCTTTGCTGTTAACCAAAGAACCCTCTTGCCCAGGGAAAGATAGAGATAGAGATAGAGATAGATAGACAGAGAAAGAGAAATAGAAACAAAGAGACAGAAGGGCAGAGATTATTTCTTTTGTTCTATTTTTTTTCTTATTTTGCTTAATAAAGAACTAATTTGAGAGTGAGAGGGAAAAGAATACGGGATCTAAAAGATAAGGAATTTCTCCACCTAGTGTGGAGCAGCCACCCAGGCAATTTGTTTGAGTGCTTCAGAGACACATGGGATGAGAGTGAGTTCCAGCTCTCAGGAGCCTGGGAACTTCATCCTGCCGCACAGCACATCCCACCAGTCAACTGCTCTCACGCCTACAATAGTGGGAGAGATATTAGATACACATTACCAGAATTCCTTCTCCCTGCTTTATTTATCCTTAAGAGTGCTTTCCTACAACACATCTAAAAATATGTATAAGACCAAAGCATTCATCACTGTTCCAATATTTGTTTTTGCATAAAGTGGCTGCTGTTTGGCCATGTGTGCAAAGTGGAATCTGCTCTTGCTACCATAACCACAATTAATTACAGCAAGATGTCGGTCCAATCAAATAGCAGCTACACTTAAGAACTGCAACCAACTGGGTGGTAACAATGTTTTCTGATCGGATAAAGTTTTGTGTATTAGGAATGCTGGGTGGACACAGATAGTGGGCCATTCAAGCCCAGGTTGTATTTTAAATGACTGACCTCCATTATTTGTTATGGGATCTTAGAAAAGGTACATAAGTTATCCTTCAGTTTTCTCATTTGTGAAATAAATATATTTCCCTTCACAAGGTTATTAAGATAAATAAATGATTAGTGCATTTTTCATTCAGCAAATACTTATTTATTCATCATCAACTATGTATCAGACATTCTTCTAGACACTGAAGAAAACCCCAGACATCAAAATAGAGAATTTTTCCTGCCTTCATGTAGACTACATTGTGAGGGAGGAAAAAATGTAAAAATAACTATGTTATATGCAAGACAGTAATAAGCACGAAGGAGAAAAATAGGGAAGTGGCATAAAGAATATAAAGAACATGTGAACTTAAAATATATTCATCAACAAGGGATTATTGGAAAGAAAAGATTTAAGGGAGTGGGCCATACATCTATCTGGAGAAAGAGTGCTACAGGCAGGGAAATAACAGGTACAAAATTCCTGGTGCAAAAGTATGTCTAAAGTGTTCAAGAAACAGCAACATCTGAGTGAATGGAGTGAAATGAGCAGCAATTTGAGTGAGAGCATGAGTTTAGAGAGGTAATTGGAAGACTGGAAATTTGTCTAAGTATTTGGGCATTGTTCTGAGTAAAAAAGGAAGTACTGGGAGGGTTAAGCAGAAAAGAATCTTGATCTCAAGTACAAATCTATTAGGATCTTGCTGGCTACAGAGCTGAGAGTAGACTGAAGGGGCGAATTTGGAAGGTCAGATCGTATAAGTAGGGTAGGAGTGAGAACTGGTTGAATTCTAGATAAAGTTTGAAGGTAGGGGCAACTGGATTTGCTGATGGACTGAGTGACATTTGTGAGAAGAAGGGAAGAGTCTATGGTGAACAGAATTTTTGGTCTAGGCTACTATAAGGATAAAATGGTCATTGGCTGAAATGAAGCAGCTGTAGTTTTGGTGGGGCTGGGAGCAGAACTGGGATTGAAGGGGGTAGTATGGAGGAGGCTCCACATTAAGTGTCAGATGGACTTTAGATGTCACGTGATAGTGTTAAACAGGTAAGTGTATATATCATACATGTGTAGTAATTAACATTCCTCAAAGTACTCAGTAAATGGTGGTTAGGACTGTTCTAAACTCAGCTCTGTTTCTTCATGAGTAATATACTATGGGACAAAGATTAAAAACTATCCCCCATCTTGTTTTAAAATGATACTTCCCTGAATTTAAGATTTTAAAATTTTCAAATATTTGACATTTATTTGAAATTTGAATTCAAAGTGCTTTGAAATATCAAAGATACTCTTTAATTTTTTTTGCTTTACTGAATGTCACTGGTCTTTACATTCATATTATTTCTTCAGGCCATTCAACAATTGGAAGGCTGCTAAATTAAGTTATGTCAAATTAATAGATTGGCTACAACAGCTTTATTAGTAATGGCAAATGTTTAGTGAGCATTTGATTTCAGAGTCACTCTTTTAAAAGGCATCTTACACATCTTGTTTCTGATCTTCGTAATAACTAGGTAAGGTATTATTAACTCCATGTACAGATTAAGAATCTGAGGCTCAAAGAGGGTAGGTGACTTTCCAGAATTTAAACTAAGGTCACATTGCTCTCCCAACCAACCTATTCTAGCATCCACTCTTCCACACTGCCTCAGTTTACAGACATCATTTGACTTATGTTTTCTAAAACACATATTTATCTTCATTTTTATATTATAATACTTTTAAAAAACCTTTTGTGTTCATTTTCATCAATGTACATACCTACCACTAACATACTCTCCTCCCATCCTTTTATAACTAATTGTACTACATACAGATATGTTTTTATAATTGTTATTTTTATTATTAGTTAATTATACTATATTATTATATACTTATTAATTTTATACTATATTATTTTTATGATTGCATTATAAATATACATAATTTATGCCACAAACCCTGCTGTAAAACGTAAGTTAAAGTAACAAATTCCAGTTTCCCAAATGTAGCACTAATGGCTCACCATGTTGTAGATAGAACACCAATAATATTCTCACATAAATTTCTGCCTTCAGTTCCTGAAGCACTAAAATTTTATTGTTATACCTCCAAAAACCTTTAGAGAAAGAAATAGAGCAGAAATATTCAGACGTATCAAAAATATGTAATTTTTCATTCATGACCTTTGTATATCTATTATAAATGTATACCTCTTTTCAATGTTTCTATACAAAACATACCATAATTCAATGTCCACCTTTCTCCTCACAATTCAACTTACTGGATATTCATCATACAATGATATAGTTTGGTAAACATCTAATTTTTCTGCATTATGAAATTTAAGTTTCTCTAATCCATCAATGGATATGACTTAAAATTATTGAATTTTCTTCCTTTTATGAAAATTGCCCAGTATCAGGCTTAAAATTCTACAGCAATTTTTTAGGCTGATGTTGTTTGACATAAGCACTGAAAAACATTAGTACTTTGTTATGCAGAGGGAGATGCAACACACAGGGAAAGGAAGAGATGCTAAACAAAAGGCCACTGCTAAACTAAGTCAAAGCCCCTTAGACGTTCCCCTCAATTGCTTCTAAGGATGTGAGCCCCTTTCTTTCTCCCTCCCTCCGTCCCTCCCTCCCTCCCTCCTTTCCTTCCTTCCTTCCTTCCTTCCTTCTTTCCTGCCTGCCTGCCATCCTTCCTTCCTTCCTGCCATCCCTCCTCCCTGCCTCTCTCTCTCCCTCCCTTTCTGCCTTGTCTTTTTACCCCTATTTGATAGGCAGTTATCAAGATGGATGTTTAATGGGAATAGTGCTCTGGGATTCATGTTCAGAAAGAAAAATATATTTACATTTACCTGTTCATGAAAAATTTTCCAGTTGACTTTATCCTTTGATTCTTTTTCCCTGATCCTATTGCAATTTTGTTTGCTCTTTTGGTGACAAGCCAGTGCCATTTCTACTGGCAGCACTGTAAGTGATATTTATGCTTGCTCATGAATGTTCAGCAGTGACCTTCATGCCTAGAATATTTTCATCTTTTTCCAAATTTTCTTTATGTGTGTATTAAGGGACTCCCCAAGTCTATACCGCTTAAATTAATGCTGTTTGATTACTCATTCTGAATTTACCTACTTGTACTTAGACTATCTTATACAGCCTGGAAACTGAAAGAATATTCGTTTTCCTTCTGATAATGACATGAACTATAAAATCTAAATGCTGGCTATTGTGGAATGCCATAGAACAACTGACCTGTGCCTAATCATTTCATCCCTACACTGAGACTCACTCGTCCTTAGTTTTGTTTTCATTTTTGTGACTGACTTTCATTAAGATTTTAAACAATAAAAAAATTATCTGTCAAAAGCTATTTACCCTTTTCTAATGTAGAAATAATAAATATCCAACATGCAATCTACTTAACTGCAGTAGTGTGAAGTACAGTATCTTCATGCATTAAATCATATTTTGATCATGATTGGACTTTCTTCTCACAGAGCCCTATTAATTTCTTAGAGTGAAATATTGAAAGTTCCACTTAAATATTTTTAGGAAGACTAAAGACCACATTCCAAGAGTAGGTAAGAATACATCTCCTTTCTTCTCACACACACTTATTGCCAGGGTACACCTACTAATGTGGAGAGAGAGAGAGCACAAAGGAGGAAAGGGGTCAGGCCACAGCCTTACTAAAAACCTACCTGTTTCTTTTGCTTCCCTCCAACTCACCCACAATCCTCATGCTTCCCAATCCGCAAAGCAAGAGCCTAAAATATAATATTACCCAGCATTTATTGAATGATGACAATGTGCTATGTATCATGGAAAGCCTTTTGTATATACTAATCTTTATTCTTCACAATAACCCTAAGAAGCTAGTATCTTATCTGAACTTTACCGTTAACAAGTTAAGTACAGGAAGTCTCAAAGATTTTTTGTCCAAGATCTCATGGATTCTACATGTTTAACTTTAAAGAAAAAATCAGGTTGATTTGGTCCCAAGGCCTGTACTTTGAATAGGCTGTATTGTACAAAACCACAAAGACAGATTTAGTGCATAAGTATCATCTTCTAAGTAGTAGGAAATATCCTCTCCAGAGTTAAGAAGAATTTGGGAATCTCCAAATAAAATGTTTAATAACTCATATTAGGCTACTATTTCTTTCTGCTAAACCTAGTTCTAAAACCAGGGTGGTCTTCTGATTCCTTATAACTATGGACTCCAAAATCATGTATATTCTTTGTATGGCTTGAATTTGGAGTTTGTTCCTAAGGCATGACACTAGGATCTAGCACTTACTAGAACTCACATGTACTGCAGTTTAATTCCTAACCTTCAGTTCCCAGGCCTAGTCTTTGTAGTGCCAGATACTTCTGATTCCACTAGATCATCTTTCTGGATTGCTACTTAACCCCAGCTATCTGACTGATGAATCCTCGATTGCCTAGATTTCTTATTATTTATAATTAGGTCCTTTTAGACTGACTTCAACAACCAAATGAATCTTCTGATGGGGCATATTTCTAATACTTATTTACATTTCCACAAATATTTGTTCTATTATATTCCAAGAACTAGCTACGTTTTGAGGGTATAATGGGAAACAAGAAAACAAACGGCTTTCTTGCGGAAATAATGGACTAGTAAGGTAACAAAATAGAAACAAAGAAAATGAGCAAATAACTTATTAAAAGTTAACACAAGGGCTATTAAAGAAACAAAAAGAGTTTCCTGAAAGGGAAAAGTGTAGGTTAGGTGAGTATTAATTAAGTGGTGCAATTAGGAAAGGCATTTCTGAGAATGTGGAATTTACACTGGAACATTAAAATATATCAGAAATATATGTAAAGAGTGAAGGGAAGAACACTGCAATAAGAAGAATCTGTGTGTGTAAAGATACAGGCAGGAAAAAGACTCCTGTTCAAGGAACTGAAAGGCATGTGGTGTGGCGATGAAGGGCATTAGATGAGGTTAGAAAGGCAGATAATCTGGCTTCCATGGTCATCTGACAGATTGAAGACAGGTCACCTACCTTTCTAACCTCATCTAATGCCCTACACTATGGTTAAACCACAAATTTTTTAAAAAGTCAAATTATATTTGTTTTTAAACAGGGCATTGACAGGGGCTGATTTCAGTTTTAAGAGTTTCCTAGCTGTTTCATATATTAACAAAATAGATTAGAAATGACAAGTTCAGACATAGAGCAATCACTGGAAATCTTTGGCAAGGGAATGTTAGGCAAGGAAAGATGATGGTCGGTGGTGACACTGAGGATGAAGGCAAGTGAGGGACCTCATATGCATTTTTGTGATTAAAAATATTATAAAGCTCAGCTAGGACAAGGGTGGAGATAGAAAGGGGATATTTTTGAATCAAGTAAAAATGTATTACTTGATGAACCTGGTGGGTAGTATTGCCATTTAATTAAATGGAAATACCGAAGGGGATTATGATGGACTCATAAAGTAAAATCAATAGTTCATATTTAGACATAAGTGTCAGACATGTGTGGAACATCCAGGCAGAAATGCCAATTAACAGTTGCCCATGTGAGTCCTTAGCTCACAGGTGAGGTCTAGGCTGTATGTAGGCATTTGAGAATTTCATCACATTTTCTGGGAATTAATGACAACCTTGGAAAAAGAGTGTAGAAAGAGAAGGCAAGAAAATGTGGGTGAGAGTTCTCAAGCATTCCAGATAGAGGAGGAGAAGCCACTAAAGAAGAATCAGAAGTGGCTGGTGAAGCAGAAAAAATATTTAAGAGAGTGTCTCTGAAGCCACATTTGCGTAGAAGAATGGGATTAGCAGTGTCGAATGCTGCTAAGAGGTATAATAAAATAGTGGTTCTGTTAATTTCCAATTCTGTCAATTGCATTATGCGAGTACTTTTTTCATCAGTACTTATTTATTTTAACCTCTGTACATAATCTTAATAGTGTCCAGATCTCTCAGAGAAATCTTCCTGAAGCAGAGAGGGTATTGGAGTTAAACATGTGATTATCAAGTGCAACCATTTAATCTGTGAAGTGCTCCTAAAATTTAAAAGTGATCTATTCTCAAATGCATATATGAAGATGTTTCATACATTGTTTATATTTAAAAAATAAGAACAAATTAAACTAGACTCATGGTAAAAATAGTTATGTCTTAAGATAATGTTTCTGCTATATCACTTTTGTCAAGCTAGATAGATCTTCTAATACTTATTGAGATTTGGCATATTTATTATTACTTAACTAAATATATGGTCTTTGTTGACTAATTTGTGTTTCTTTCATGTTTTACAATCATTAGGAATAATTATTTCTAAGGCTCAGCTAGGAGAAGGGTCCTAAGTTGTCCCCGATAGGATCTCTCACTATTAGTACATACTAGGTAGAGTATTTAGAAATCAACTCAAAGCAAAATTCTGATTTAAAAAAATTAATTGAACTTTATGAATCTCTCACTATATTGTTGGTTAGCCTAGTACTAATCTGCCTGTAGGCACTAAGATATTACTCATTTGGATATTATATTTCCTATAAATTCCAATAACCATAAATGATTTCAAATTATCATAAAACCTTAAGTTGTTTTCTTTATTTCTTCTAAAAAAATGGGATATATGTGCAGAATGTGCAGGCTTGTTACAGAGGTATATGTGTGCCATGTTGGTTTGCTGCACCTATTAACCCATCCTCTAAGTTCTCTCTCCTCATCCTCCACCCCTCAATAAGCCCTGGTGTGTGTTGTTCCCCTCTCTGTGTCCATGTGTTCTCAACGTTCGACTCCCACTTATTAGTGAGAACATGTGGTGTTTGGTTCTCTGCTCCTGTGTTAGTTTGCTGAGGATTATGGCTTCCAGCTTCATCCATGTCCCTGCAAAGGACATGATCTCATTCCTTTTTATGGCTGCATAGTATTCTATGGTGTATATATATCACATTTTCTTTATCCAGTCTATCATTGATGGGCATTTGGGTTGGTTACGTGTCTTTGCTATTGTAAATAGTGCTGCAATAAACATACATGTGCATGTGTCTTTATAGTAGAATGATTTATATTCCTTTGGGTACACATCCAATAATGGGATTGGTGGGTCAAATGGTATGTCTAGTTCTAGATCCTTGAGGAATCACCATACTGTCTTCCGCAGTGGTTGAACTAGTTTACACTCCCACCAACAGTATAAAAGCGTTTCTATTTCTCCACAGCCTTGTAGCCATTTGTTGTTTCCTGACTGTTTAATAATTGCCATTGTGACTGACAGGAGGTGGTATATCGTTGCGGTTTTGATTTGTATCTCTCTGATGATCAGTGATGTTGAGCTTTTTTTCGTATGTTTGTTGGCTGTGTAAATGTCTTCTATTGAGAAGTGTCTATTCATATCCTTTGCCCACTTTTTGATGGGGCTTTTTTTTCTTGTACATACGTTTAAATTCCCTGTGAGATTGTCATAATTCCTTAATTTTTACTTGTCCTTGAAGCTTGCTTGTTTATTGGGCTGGGATTTCTCCCAACTGTAAAATCTGTTTATTATTATGGTAATGATTATCATATCTGCTAGCTGATATTGCCTTTAATATTTAAGTAGGAGGAGACTCACAGATAATATAATCGCTGCATGAAGTAGCGATTATATTATCTTATAAAATCTTATTATAAAATATTATAAAATCGTATAAAATCATATTAAGTGAAAGATATAAAACTCAATTACTCTCTTCCAATTAAAGTTATGAACTACAAAATAACTCACAATAGCAGAAAACCTGTGGTGATAAGGGTTATAGAAGATTGTCAGTTTATCCTTTAAAGTACACTACTTGTTTTATTAATGGTAAGTGTTTTTTCTATTCATGTACTTTATGAAGGTAGGTTCCATATCTGTTATCCTCAGCAATAGTGCTCTGACTTTTATTAAGAAGTTTCTCAGTAAATGTTTGAGAATATGTGAATTAAAAAGGATAAAATGCAAGATTTAGTTTTCTAATTCAAATATTCCATTTATAGCAGCAGTTCCCAACCTTTTTGGCACCAGACGCCTGTTTTGTGGAAGACAATTTTTCCACGTATGTGAGATTGGGGGATGGTTTTGGGATGAAACTGTTCCACCTCACATCATCCGGCATTAGATTCTCATAAGAAGCGCACAATCTAGATCCCTCACATGCGCCGTTCACAATAGGTTTGGACTCCAGTGAGAATTTAATGCCAAAGCTGATCTGACAGGAGGCGGAGCAGTAGTGCTAACTTGCCCGCTGCTCACCTCCTAGTGCACGGCCTAGTTTCTAACAGGCCACAGACTGGTACTGGTCCACAGACCGGAGATCAGGGACCCCTGATTTATAGCTTTATTTATGCTACTTGCATATCAGCCCTGTGAAGCTTGTTGCATTCTGACATCCTTATAATATAGGATTTTTCACCAGTCATACACTTGAATGGATTTATACTTATTTTTTTTTCTATTTTGATCTTCATTTTTTTTCTTTTTATTTATTTATTTATTTATTTATTATTATTATTATACTTTAAGTTTTAGGGTACATGTGAACAATGTGCAGGTTAGTTACATATGTATACATGTGCCATGCTGGTGCGCTGCACCCACTAACTCGTCATCTAGCATTAGGTATATCTCCCAGTGCTATCCCTCCCCCCTCCCCCCACCCCACAACAGTCCCCAGAGTGTGATGTTCCCCTTCCTGTGTCCATGTGATCTCATTGTTCAATTCCCACCTATGAGTGAGAATATGCGGTGTTTGGTTTTTTTGTTCTTGCAATAGTTTACTGAGAATGATGATTTCCAATTTCATCCATGTCCCTACAAAGGACATGAACTCATCATTTTTTATGGCTGCATAGTATTCCATGGTGTATATGTGCCACATTTTCTTAATCCAGTCCATCATTGTTGGACATTTGGGTTGGTGCCAAGTCTTTGCTATTGTGAATAATGCCGCAATAAACATACATGTGCGTGTGTCTTTATAGCAGCATGATTTATAGTCCTTTGGGTATATACCCAGTAATGGGATGGCTGGGTCAAATGGTACTTCTAGTTCTAGATCCCTGAGGAATCACCACACTGACTTCCACAATGGTTGAACTAGTTTACAGTCCCACCAACAGTGTAAAAATGTTCCTATTTCTCCACATCCTCTCTAGCACCTGTTGTTTCCTGACTTTTTAATGATCACCATTCTAACTGGTCTGAGATGGTATCTCATTGTGGTTTTGATTTGCATTTCTCTGATGGCCAGTGATGGTGAGCATTTTTTCATGTGTCTGTTGGCTGCATAAATGTCTTCTTTTGAGAACTGTCTGTTCATGTCCTTCGCCCACTTTTTGATGGGGTTGTTTGTTTTTTTCTTGTAAATTTGTTTGAGTTCATTGTAGATTCTGGATATTAGCCCTTCGTCAGACGAGTAGGTTGCAAAAATTTGCTCCCGTTTTGTAGGTTGCCTGTTCACTCTGATGGTAGTTTCCTTTGCTGTGCAGAAGCTCTTTAGTTTAATTAGATCCCATTTGTCAATTTTGGCTTTTGTTGCCATTGCTTTTGTTGTTTTAGACATGAAGTCCTTGCCCATGCCTATGTCCTGAATGGTATTGCCTAGGTTTTCTTCTAGGGTTTTTATGGTTTTAGGTCTAACATTTAAGTCTTTAATCCATTTTGAATTGATTTTTGTATAAGGTGTAAGGAAGGGATCCAATTTCAGCTTTCTACATATGGCTAGCCAGTTTTCCCAGCACCATTTATTAAATAGGGAATCCTTTCCCCATTGCTTGTTTTTCTCAGGTTTGTCAAAGATCAGATAGTTGTAGATATGCGGTGTTATTTCTGAGGGCTCTGTTCTGTTCCATTGATCTATATCTCTGTTTTGGTACCAGTACCATGCTGTTTTGGTTACTGTAGCCTTGTAGTATAGTTTGAAGTCAGGTAGTGTGATGCCTCCAGCTTTGTTCTTTTGGCTTAGGATTGACTTGGCGATGCAGGCTCTTTTTTGGTTCCATATGAACTTTAAAGTAGTTTTTTCCAATTCTGTGAAGAAAGTCATTGGTAGCTTGATGGGGATGGCATTGAATCTGTGAATTACCTTGGGCAGTATGGCCATTTTCACAATATTGATTCTTCCTGCCCATGAGCATGGAATGTTCTTCCATTTGTTTGTATCCTCTTTTATTTCCTTGAGCAGTGGTTTGTAGTTCTCCTTGAAGAGGTCCTTCACATCCCTTGTAAGTTGGATTCCTAGGTATTTTATTCTCTTTGAAGCAATTGTGAATGGGAGTTCACTCATGATTTGGCTCTCTGTTTGTCTGTTGTTGGTGTATAAGAATCTTGTGATTTTTGTACATTGATTTTGTATCCTGAGACTTTGCTGAAGTTGCTTATCAGCTTAAGGAGATTTTGGGCTGAGACAATGGGGTTTTCTAGATATACAATCATGTCATCTGCAAACAGGGACAATTTGACTTCCTCTTTTCCTAATTGAATACCCTTTATTTCCTTCTCCTGCCTAATTGCCCTGGCCAGAACTTCCAACACTATGTTGAATAGGAGTGGTGAGAGAGGGCATCCCTGTCTTGTGCCAGTTTTCAAAGGGAATGCTTCCAGTTTTTGCCCATTCAGTATGATATTGGCTGTGGGTTTGTCATAGATAGCTCTTATTATTTTGAAATATGTCCCATCAATACCTAATTTATTGAGAGTTTTTAGCATGAATGGTTGTTGAATTTTGTCAAAGGCCTTTTCTGCATCTATTGAGATAATCATGTGGTTTTTGTCTTTGGTTCTGTTTATGTGCTGGATTACATTTACTTTAAACCAACAAAGATCAAAAGAGACAAAGAAGGCCATTACATAATGGTAAAGGGATCAATTCAACAAGAAGAGCTTCCTATCCTAAATATATATGCACCCAATACAGGAGCACCCAGATTCATAAAGCAAGTCCTGAGTGACCTACAAAGAGACTTAGATTCCCAGACATTAAAAATGGGAGACTTTCACACCCCACTGTCAACATTAGACAGATCAACGAGACAGAAAGTCAACAAGGATATCCAGGAATTGAACTCAGCTCTGCACCAAGTGGACCTAATAGACATCTACAGAGCTCTCCACCCCAAATCAACAGAATATACATTTTTTTCAGCACCACACCACACCTATTCCAAAATTGACCACATACTTGGAAGTAAAGCTCTCTTCAGCAAATGTAAAAGAACAGAAATTATAACAAACTATCTCTCAGTCCACAGTGCAATCAAACTAGAACTCAGGATTAAGAATCTCACTCAAAACCGCTCAACTACATGGAAACTGAACAACCTGCTCCTGAATGACTACTGGGTACATAATGAAATGAAGGCAGAAATAAAGATGTTCTTTGAAACCAACGAGAACAAAGACACAACATACCAGAATCTCTGGGACCCATTCAAAGCAGTGTGTAGAGGGAAATTTATAGCACTAAATGCCCACAAGAGAAAGCATGAAAGATCCAAAATTGACACCCTAACATCACAATTAAAAGAACTAGAAAAGCAAGAGCAAACACATTCAAAAGCTAGCAGAAGGCAAGAAATAACTAATATCAGAGCAGAACTGAAGGAAATAGAGACACAAAAAACCCTTCAAAAAATTAATGAATCCAGGAGCTGGTTTTTTGAAAGGATCAACAAAATAGATAGACCACTAGCAAGACTGATAAAGAAAAAAAGAGAGAAGAATCAAATAGACGCAATAAAAAATGATAAAGGGGATATCACCACCGATCCCACGGAAATGCAAACTACCATCAGGGAATACTACAAACACCTCTACGCAAATAAACTAGAAAATCTAGAAGAAATGGATAAATTTCTGGACACATACACTCTCCCAAGACTAAACCAGGGAGAAGTTGAATCTCTGAATAGACCAATAACAGGATCTGAAATTGTGGCAATATTCAATAGCTTACCAACCAAAAAAGAGTCCAGGACCAGATGGATTCACATCCGAATTCTACCAGAGGTACAAGGAGGAACTGGTACCATTCCTTCTGAAACTATTCCAATCAATAGAAAAAGAGGGAATCCTCCCTAACTCATTTTATGAGGCCAGCATCATCCTGATACCAAAGCCGGGCAGAGACACAACCAAAAAAGAGAATTTTAGACCAATATCCTTGATAAACATTGATGCAAAAATCCTCAATAAAATACTGGCAAACCGAATCCAGCAGCACATCAAAAAGCTTATCCACCATGATCAACTGGGCTTCATCCCTGGGATGCAAGGCTGGTTCAATATACTTATTTTTAGAGAGTGAAAAAAGGAAAGGAAAGGAAATAAAGAAAAGAATAACTCAAAACTTATCCCTCTACTTGTTTGCCTTGATTATCAGTGTTTATTCCACAAAAAGTATTTCTTTAGGTATCATTCAGAATAGCTAAAATAAAAAATGATGACAACACTAAATGCTATTGAGGTTGCAGAGAAACTGGATCCCTTATACATTATTGCTCTGAATGTAAAATGTTACAGCGAGCTTGTCCAACCCATGATCCCCAGGCCACATGCAGCCCAGGACATCTTGGTATGTGGCCCAGCACAAATTTGTAAACTTTCTTAAAACGTTATGAGATTTTTTTTGCAGTTTTTTGATTTGTTGTTGTTTTGTTCACCAGTTTTCGTCAGTGTTAGTGTATTATGTGTGACCCAAGATAATTCTTCTTCTAGTGTGGCCCAGAGAAGGCAAAAGATTGGATACCTCTGTGTTAGTTAGAGCCATTCTGGAAAAACAGTTAGGGAGTTTCTTTTAAAACTGAACATCAACTATCATATGATGCAGCAATTGCACTCTTGGGCATTCATACCAATAGAATAGACATGTATAATCACACGAGAACCTATATATATATGTTCATAGTAGTTTTATTTGTACTAGCCAAAAGCCTGAAGCAAGCAGATGTTTCTCAATAGGTGAATGGTTAAACAAATTGTGGTACATCCATACCATGGAATGTTACTCATTAGTAAAAGGAATAAAGAAGTAAAGCACATAACAAATCAAATGAATCCCTGGGGAATATCTTATGAATTGTTTGAGTAAAAATGTCAGTTTTTAAATTTCATTTGGTGTGTGTGTGTGTGTGTGTGTGTATATATATACACACACCATAAGAGGGATCTTATGGTGATGGAACTGTTCTGTATCTTGAATGTATCATTGTCAGTATTCCATGTTTAACATTGTGCTATAG